>NC_000011.10:52128714-52368918 GCF_000001405.40 Homo sapiens
AGCATTCTCAGAAACTGCTTTGTGATGTTTGTGTTCCACTTCAGCAATTGAACTTTCCTCTTGACAGAGCAGCTCTGAAACCCTCTTATTCTAGAATCTGCAAGTGGACATTTGGAGGGCTTTGAGGCCTGTGGTGGAAAAGGAAAATCTTCACATAAAAACTAGATGGAAGCATTCTCAGAAACTACTTTGTGATGATTGCATTCGACTCACAGAGTTGAACATTCCTATAGATAGAGCAGGTTGTAAACAATCTTTTTGTAGAATCTGCGATTGGAGATTTGGACTGCTTTGAGGCCTACTGTAGTAAAGGAAATAACTTCATCTAAAAACCAAACGGAAGCATTCACAGACAATTCTTAGTGATCATTGGATTGAACTAACAGAGCTGAACATTCCTTTAGATGGAGCAGTTTCCAAACCCACTTTCTGTAGAATGTGCAAGTGGATATTTGGACTTCTCTGAGGATTTCTTTGGAAACGGGATATGCTTCCCAGAACTACAGGGAAGCATTCTGAGAAACTTCTTTGTGATGTTTGCATTCAACTCACAGAGTTGAACCTTGCTTTCATAGTTCAGCTTTCAAACACTCTTTTTGTAGAATCTGCAAGTGGATATTTGGACCACTTTGTGGCCTTCCTTCGAAACGGGTATATCTTCACATCAAACCTAGACAGAAGCATTCTCAGAATGTTTCCTGTGATGACTGCATTCAACTCACAGAGGTGAACAATCCTGCTGATGGAGCAGTTTTGAAACTCTCTTTCTTTGGATTCTGCAAGTGGATATGTGGACCTCTGTGAAGATTTCGTTGGAAACGGGTTCATCTTCACAGAAAAACTAAACAGAAGTATTCTCAGAAACTGCTTTGTGATGTTTGTGTTCCACTTCAGGAATTGAACTTTCCTCTTGACAGAGCAGCTCTGAAACCCTCTTATTCTAGAATCTGCAAGTGGACATTTGGAGGGCTTTGAGGCCTGTGGTGGAAAAGGAAAATCTTCACATAAAAACTAGATGGAAGCATTTTCAGAAACTACTTTGTGATGATTGCATTCGACTCACAGAGTTGAACATTCCTATAGATAGAGCAGGTTGTAAACAATCTTTTTGTAGAATCTGCGATTGGAGATTTGGACTGCTTTGAGGCCTACTGTAGTAAAGGAAATAACTTCATCTAAAAACCAAACGGAAGCATTCACAGACAATTCTTAGTGATCATTGCATTGAACTAACAGAGCTGAACATTCCTTTAGATGGAGCAGTTTCCAAACACACTTTCTGTAGAATCTGCAAGTGGATATTTGGACTTCTCTGAGGATTTCGTTGGAAACGGGATAAACTTCCCAGAACTACACGGAAGCATTCTGAGAAACTTCTTTGTGATGTTTTCATTCAACTCACAGAGTTGAACCTTGCTTTCATAGTTCAGCTTTCAAACACTCTTTTTGTAGAATCTGCAAGTGGATATTTGGACCACTTTGTGGCCTTCCTTCGAAACGGGTATATCTTCACATCAAACCTAGACAGAAGCATTCTCAGAATGTTTCCTGTGATGACTGCATTCAACTCACAGAGGTGAACAATCCTGCTGATGGAGCAGTTTTGAAACTCTCTTTCTTTGGATTCTGCAAGTGGATATGTGGACCTCTGTGAAGATTTCGTTGGAAACGGGTTCATCTTCACAGAAAAACTAAACAGAAGCATTCTCAGAAACTGCTTTGTGATGTTTGTGTTCCACTTCAGGAATTGAACTTTCCTCTTGACAGAGCAGCTCTGAAACCCTCTTATTCTAGAATCTGCAAGTGGACATTTGGAGGGCTTTGAGGCCTGTGGTGGAAAAGGAAAATCTTCACATAAAAACTAGATGGAAGCATTCTCAGAAACTACTTTGTGATGATTGCATTCGACTCACAGAGTTGAACATTCCTATAGATAGAGCAGGTTGTAAACAATCTTTTTGTAGAATCTGCGATTGGAGATTTGGACTGCTTTGAGGCCTACTGTAGTAAAGGAAATAACTTCATCTAAAAACCAAACGGAAGCATTCACAGACAATTCTTAGTGATCATTGCATTGAACTAACAGAGCTGAACATTCCTTTAGATGGAGCAGTTTCCAAACACACTTTCTGTAGAATCTGCAAGTGGATATTTGGACTTCTCTGAGGATTTCGTTGGAAACGGGATAAACTTCCTAGAACTACACGGAAGCATGCTGAGAAACTTCTTTGTGATGTTTGCATTCAACTCACAGAGTTGAACCTTGCTTTCATAGTTCAGCTTTCAAACACTCTTTTTGTAGAATCTGCAAGTGGATATTTGGACCACTTTGTGGCCTTCCTTCGAAACGGGTATATCTTCACATCAAACCTAGACAGAAGCATTCTCAGAATGTTTCCTGTGATGACTGCATTCAACTCACAGAGGTGAACAATCCTGCTGATGGAGCAGTTTTGAAACTCTCTTTCTTTGGATTCTGCAAGTGGATATGTGGACCTCTGTGAAGATTTCGTTGGAAACGGGTTCATCTTCACAGAAAAATTAAACAGAAGCATTCTCAGAAACTGCTTTGTGATGTTTGTGTTCCACTTCAGGAATTGAACTTTCCTCTTGACAGAGCAGCTCTGAAACCCTCTTATTCTAGAATCTGCAAGTGGACATTTGGAGGGCTTTGAGGCCTGTGGTGGAAAAGGAAAATCTTCACATAAAAACTAGATGGAAGCATTCTCAGAAACTACTTTGTGATGATTGCATTCGACTCACAGAGTTGAACATTCCTATAGATAGAGCAGGTTGTAAACAATCTTTTTGTAGAATCTGCGATTGGAGATTTGGACTGTTTTGAGGCCTACTGTAGTAAAGGAAATAACATCATCTAAAAACCAAACGGAAGCATTCACAGACAATTCTTAGTGATCATTGCATTGAACTAACAGAGCTGAACATTCCTTTAGATGGAGCAGTTTCCAAACACACTTTCTGTAGAATGTGCAAGTGGATATTTGGACTTCTCTGAGGATTTCGTTGGAAACGGGATAAACTTCCCAGAACTACACGGAAGCATTCTGAGAAACTTCTTTGTGATGTTTGCATTCAACTCACAGAGTTGAACCTTGCTTTCATAGTTCAGCTTTCAAACACTCTTTTTGTAGAATCTACAGAAAGTGGATATTTGGACCACTTTGTGGCCTTCCTTCGAAACGGGTATATCTTCACATCAAACCTAGACAGAAGCATTCTCAGAATGTTTCCTGTGATGACTGCATTCAACTCACAGAGGTGAACAATCCTGCTGATGGAGCAGTTTTGAAACTCTCTTTCTTTGGATTCTGCAAGTGGATATGTGGACCTCTGTGAAGATTTCGTTGGAAACGGGTTCATCTTCACAGAAAAACTAAACAGAAGCATTCTCAGAAACTGCTTTGTGATGTTTGTGTTCCACTTCAGGAATTGAACTTTCCTCTTGAAAGAGCAGCTCTGAAACCCTCTTTTTCTAGAATCTGCAAGTGGACATTTGGAGGGCTTTGAGGCCTGTGGTGGAAAAGGAAAATCTTCACATAAAAATTAGATGGAAGCATTCTCAGAAACTACTTTGTGATGATTGCATTCGACTCACAGAGTTGAACACTCCTATAGATAGAGCAGGTTGTAAACAATCTTTTTGTAGAATCTGCGATTGGAGATTTGGACTGCTTTGAGGCCTACTGTAGTAAAGGAAATAACTTCATCTAAAAACCAAACGGAAGCATTCACAGACAATTCTTAGTGATCATTGGATTGAACTAACAGAGCTGAACATTCCTTTAGATGGAGCAGTTTCCAAACCCACTTTCTGTAGAATCTGCAAGTGGATATTTGGACTTCTCTGAGGATTTCGTTGGAAACGGGATAAACTTCCCAGAACTACACGGAAGCATTCTGAGAAACTTCTTTGTGATGTTTGCATTCAACTCACAGAGTTGAACCTTGCTTTCATAGTTCAGCTTTCAAACACTCTTTTTGTAGAATCTGCAAGTGGATATTTGGACCACTTTGTGGCCTTCCTTCGAAACGGGTATATCTTCACATCAAACCTAGACAGAAGCATTCTCAGAATGTTTCCTGTGATGACTGCATTCAACTCACAGAGGTGAACAATCCTGTTGATGGAGCAGTTTTGAAACTCTCTTTCTTTGGATTCTGCAAGTGGATATGAGGACCTCTGTGAAGATTTCGTTGGAAACGGGTTCATCTTCACAGAAAAAATAAACAGGAGCATTCTCAGAAACTACTTTGTGATGTTTGTGTTCAACTTCCGGAATTGAACTTTCCTCTGGAAAGAGCAGCTATGAAACGCTCTTTTTCTAGAATGTGCAAGTGGACCTTTGGAGGGCTTTGAGGCCTGCGGTGGAAAGGGAAATATCTTCACATGAAAACTAGATAGAAGCATTCTCAGAAACTACTTTGTGATGATTGCATTCGACTCACAGAGTTGAACATTCCTATAGATAGAGCAGGTTGTAAACAATCTTTTTGTAGAATCTGCGATTGGAGATTTGGACTGCTTTGAGGCCTACTGTAGTAAAGGAAATAACTTCATGTAAAAACCAAACGGAAGCATTCACAGACAATTCTTAGTGATCATTGGATTGAACTAACAGAGCTGAACATTCCTTTAGATGGCGCAGTTTCCAAACACACTTTCTGTAGAATCTGCAAGTGGATATTTGGACCTCTCTGAGGATTTCGTTGGAAACGGGATAAACTTCCCAGAACTACACGGAAGCATTGTGAGAAACTTCTTTGTGATGTTTGCATTCAACTCACAGAGTTGAACCTTGCTTTCATAGTTCAGCTTTCAAACACTCTTTTTGTAGAATCTCCAAGTGGATATTTGGACCACTTTGTGGCCTTCCTTCGAAACGGGTATATCTTCACATCAAACCTAGACAGAAGCATTCTCAGAATGTTTCCTGTGATGACTGCATTCAACTCACAGAGGTGAACAATCCTGCTGATGGAGCAGTTTTGAAACTCTCTTTCTTTGGATTCTGCAAGTGGATATGTGGACCTCTGTGAAGATTTCGTTGGAAACGGGTTCATCTTCACAGAAAAACTAAACAGAAGCATTCTCAGAAATTGCTTTGTGATGTTTGTGTTCCACTTCAGGAATTGAACTTTCCTCTTGACAGAGCAGCTCTGAAACCCTCTTATTCTAGAATCTGCAAGTGGACATTTGGAGGGCTTTGAGGCCTGTGGTGGAAAAGGAAAATCTTCACATAAAAACTAGATGGAAGCATTCTCAGAAACTACTTTGTGATGATTGCATTCGACTCACAGAGTTGAACATTCGTATAGATAGAGCAGGTTGTAAACAATCTTTTTGTAGAATCTGCGATTGGAGATTTGGACTGCTTTGAGGCCTACTGTAGTAAAGGAAATAACTTCATCTAAAAACCAAACGGAAGCATTCACAGACAATTCTTAGTGATCATTGGATTGAACTAACAGAGCTGAACATTCCTTTAGATGGAGCAGTTTCCAAACACACTTTCTGTAGAATCTGCAAGTGGATATTTGGACCTCTGTGAGGATTTCTTTGGAAACGGGATAAACTTCCCAGAACTACACGGAAGCATTCTGAGAAACTTCTTTGTGATGTTTGCATTCAACTCACAGAGTTGAAACTTGCTTTCATAGTTAAGCTTTCAAACACTCTTTTTGTAGAATCTGCAAGTGGATATTTGGACCACTTTGTGGCCTTCCTTCGAAACGGGTATATCTTCACATCAAACCTAGACAGAAGCATTCTCAGAATGTTTCCTGTGATGACTGCATTCAACTCACAGAGGTGAACAATCCTGCTGATGGAGCAGTTTTGAAACTCTCTTTCTTTGGATTCTGCAAGTGGATATGTGGACCTCTGTGAAGATTTCGTTGGAAACGGGTTCATCTTCACAGAAAAACTAAACAGAAGCATTCTCAGAAACTGCTTTGTGATGTTTGTGTTCCACTTCAGGAATTGTATTTTCCTCTTGACAGAGCAGCTCTGAAACCCTCTTATTCTAGAATCTGCAAGTGGACATTTGGAGGGCTTTGAGGCCTGTGGTGGAAAAGGAAAATCTTCACATAAAAACTAGATGGAAGCATTCTCAGAAACTACTTTGTGATGATTGCATTCGACTCACAGCAGTTGAACATTCCTATAGATAGAGCAGGTTGTAAACAATCTTTTTGTAGAATCTGCGATTGGAGATTTGGACTGCTTTGAGGCCTACTGTAGTAAAGGAAATAACTTCATCTAAAAACCAAACGGAAGCATTCACAGACAATTCTTAGTGATCATTGGATTGAACTAACAGAGCTGAACATTCCTTTAGATGGAGCAGTTTCCAAACCCACTTTCTGTAGAATCTGCAAGGGGATATTTGGACTTCTCTGAGGATTTCGTTGGAAACGGGATAAACTTCCCAGATCTACACGGAAGCATTCTGAGAAACTTCTTTGTGATGTTTGCATTCAACTCACAGAGTTGAACCTTGCTTTCACAGTTCAGCTTTCAAACACTCTTTTTGTAGAATCTGCAAGTGGATATTTGGACCACTTTGTGGCCTTCCTTCGAAACGGGTATATCTTCATATCAAACCTAGACAGAAGCATTCTCAGAATGTTTCCTGTGATGACTGCATTCAACTCACAGAGGTGAACAATCCTGTTGATGGAGCAGTTTTGAAACTCTCTTTCTTTGGATTCTGCAAGTGGATATGTGGACCTCTGTGAACATTTCGTTGGAAACGGGTTCATCTTCACAGAAAAACTAAACAGGAGCATTCTCAGAAACTGCTTTGTGATGTTTGTGTTCCACTTCAAGAATTGAACTTTCCTCTTGACAGAGCAGCTCTGAAACCCTCTTTTTCTAGAATCTGCAAGTGGACATTTGGAGGGCTTTGAGGCCTGTGGTGGAAAAGGAAAATCTTCACATAAAAACTAGATGGAAGCATTCTCAGAAACTACTTTGTGATGATTGCATTCGACTCACAGAGTTGAACATTCCTATAGATAGAGCAGGTTGTAAACAATCTTTTTGTAGAATCTGCGATTGGAGATTTGGACTGCTTTGAGACCTACTGTAGTAAAGGAAATAACTTCATCTAAAAACCAAACGGAAGCATTCACAGACTATTCTTAGTGATCATTGCATTGAACTAACAGAGCTGAACATTCCTTTAGATGGAGCAGCTTCCAAACACACTTTCTGTAGAAACTGCAAGTGGATATTTGGACTTTTCTGAGGATTTCTTTGGAAACGGGATAAACTTCCGAGAACTACACGGAAGCATTCTGAGAAACTTCTTTGTGATGTTTGCGTACAACTCACAGAGTTGAACCTTGCTTTCATAGTTCAGCTTTCAAACACTCTTTTTGTAGAATCTGCAAATGGATATTTGGACCACTTTGTGGCCTTCCTTCGAAACGGGTATATCTTCACATCAAACCTAGACAGAAGCATTCTCAGAATGTTTCCTGTGATGACTGCATTCAACTCACAGAGGTGAACAATCCTGCTGATGGAGCAGTTTTGAAACTCTCTTTCTTTGGATTCTGCAAGTGGATATGTGGACCCCTGTGAAGATTTCGTTGGAAACGGGTTCATCTTCACAGAAAAACTAAACAGAAGCATTCTCAGAAACTGCTTTGTGATGTTTGTGTTCCACTTCAAGAATTGAACTTTCCTCTTGACAGAGCAGCTCTGAAACCCTCTTTTTCTAGAATCTGCAAGTGGACATTTGGAGGGCTTTGAGGCCTGTGGTGGAAAAGGAAAATCTTCACATAAAAACTAGATGGAAGCATTCTCAGAAACTACTTTGTGATGATTGCATTGGACTCACAGAGTTGAACATTCCTATAGATAGAGCGGGTTGTAAACAATCTTTTTGTAGAATCTGCGATTGGAGATTTGGACTGCTTTGAGGCCTACTGTAGTAAAGGAAATAACTTCATCTAAAAACCAAACGGAAGCATTCACAGACAATTCTTAGTGATCATTGCATTGAACTAACAGAGCTGAACATTCCTGTAGATGGCGCAGTTTCCAAACACACTTTCTGTAGAATCTGCAAGTGGATATTTGGACCTCTCTGAGGATTTCGTTGGAAACGGGATAAACTTCCCAGAACTACACGGAAGCATTCTGAGAAACTTCTTTGTGATGTTTGCATTCAACTCACAGAGTTGAACCTTGCTTTCATGGTTCAGCTTTCAAACACTCTTTTTGTAGAATCTGCAAGTGGATATTTGGACCACTTTGTGGCCTTCCTTCGAAACGGGTACATCTTCACATCAAACCTAGACAGAAGCATTCTCAGAATGTTTCCTGTGATGACTGCATTCAACTCACAGAGGTGAACAATCCTGCTGATGGAGCAGTTTTGAAACTCTCTTTCTTTGGATTCTGCAAGTGGATATGTGGACTTCTGTGAAGACTTCGTTGGAAACGGGTTCATCTTCACAGAAAAACTAAACAGAAGCATTCTCAGAAACTGCTTTGTGATGTTTGTGTTCCACTTCAGGAATTGAACTTTCCTCTTGACAGAGCAGCTCTGAAACCCTCTTATTCTAGAATCTGCAAGTGGACATTTGGAGGGCTTTGAGGCCTGTGGTGGAAAAGGAAAATCTTCACATAAAAACTAGATGGAAGCATTCTCAGAAACTACTTTGTGATGATTGCATTCGACTCACAGGGTTGAACATTCCTATAGATAGAGCAGGTTGTAAACAATCTTTTTGTAGAATATGCGATTGGAGATTTGGACTGCTTTGAGGCCTACTGTAGTAAAGGAAATAACTTCATCTAAAAACCAAACGGAAGCATTCACAGACAATTCTTAGTGATCATTGCATTGAACTAACAGAGCTGAACATTCCTTTAGATGGAGCAGTTTCCAAACCCACTTTCTGTAGAATCTGCAAGTGGATATTTGGACTTCTCTGAGGATTTCGTTGGAAACGGGATAAACTTCCCAGAACTACACGGAAGCATTGTGAGAAACTTCTTTGTGATGTTTGCATTCAACTCACAGAGTTGAACCTTGCTTTCATAGTTCAGCTTTCAAACACTCTTTTTGTAGAATCTGCAAGTGGATATTTGGACCACTTTGTGGCCTTCCTTCGAAACGGGTATATCTTCACATCAAACCTAGACAGAAGCATTCTCAGAATGTTTCCTGTTATGACTGCATTCAACTCACAGAGGTGAACAATCCTGTTGATGGAGCACTTTTGAAACTCTCTTTCTTTGGATTCTGCAAGTTGATATGTGGACCTCTGTGAAGATTTCGTTGGAAACGGGTTCATCTTCACAGAAAAACTAAACAGAAGCATTCTCAGAAACTGCTTTGTGATGTTTGTGTTCCACTTCAGGAATTGAACTTCCCTCTTGACAGAGCAGCTCTGAAACCCTCTTATTCTAGAATCTGCAAGTGGACATTTGGAGGGCTTTGAGGCCTGTGGTGGAAAAGGAAAATCTTCACATAAAAACTAGATGGAAGCATTCTCAGAAACTACTTTGTGATGATTGCATTCGACTCACAGAGTTGAACATTCCTATACATAGAGCAGGTTGTAAACAATCTTTTTGTAGAATCTGCGATTGGAGATTTGGACTGCTTTGAGGCCTACTGTAGTAAAGGAAATAACTTCATCTAAAAACCAAACGGAAGCATTCACAGACAATTCTTAGTGATCATTGCATTGAACTAACAGAGCTGAACATTCCTTTAGATGGCGCAGTTTCCAAACACACTTTCTGTAGAATCTGCAAGTGGATATTTGGACCTCTCTGGAGGATTTCGTTGGAAACGGGATAAACTTCCCAGAACTACACGGAAGCATTCTGAGAAACTTCTTTGTGATGTTTGCATTCAACTCACAGAGTTGAACCTTGCTTTCATAGTTCAGCTTTCAAACACTCTTTTTGTAGAATCTGCAAGTGGATATTTGGACCACTTTGTGGCCTTCCTTCGAAACGGGTATATCTTCACATCAAACCTAGACAGAAGCATTCTCAGAATGTTTCCTGTGATGACTGCATTCAACTCACAGAGGTGAACAATCCTGCTGATGGAGCAGTTTTGAAACTCTCTTTCTTTGGATTCTGCAAGTGGATATGTGGACCTCTGTGAAGATTTCGTTGGAAACGGGTTCATCTTCACAGAAAAACTAAACAGGAGCATTCTCACAAACTGCTTTGTGATGTTTGTGTTCCACTTCAAGAATTGAACTTTCCTCTTGACAGAGCAGCTCTGAAACCCTCTTTGTCTAGAATCTGCAAGTGGACATTTGGAGGGCTTTGAGGCCTGTGGTGGAAAAGGAAATATCTTCACATAAAAACTAGATGGAAGCATTCTCAGAAACTACTTTGTGATGATTGCATTCGACTCACAGAGTTGAACATTCCTATAGATAGAGCAGGTTGTAAACAATCTTTTTGTAGAATCTGCGATTGGAGATTTGGACTGCTTTGAGGCCTACTGTAGTAAAGGAAATAACATCATGTAAAAACCAAACGGAAGCATTCACAGACAATTCTTAGTGATCATTGCATTGAACTAACAGAGCTGAACATTGCTTTAGATGGCGCAGTTTCCAAACACACTTTCTGTAGAATCTGCAAGTGGATATTTGGACCTCTCTGAGGATTTCGTTGGAAACGGGATAAACTTCCCAGAACTACACGGAAGCATTCTGAGAAACTTCTTTGTGATGTTTGCATTCAACTCACAGAGTTGAACCTTGCTTTCATAGTTCAGCTTTCAAACACTCTTTTTGTAGAATCTGCAAGTGGATATTTGGACCACTTTGTGGCCTTCCTTCGAAACGGGTATATCTTCACATCAAACCTAGACAGAAGCATTCTCAGAATGTTTCCTGTGATGACTGCATTCAACTCACAGAGGTGAACAATCCTGCTGATGGAGCAGTTTTGAAACTCTCTTTCTTTGGATTCTGCAAGTGGATATGTGGACCTCTTTGAAGATTTCGTTGGAAACGGGTTCATCTTCACAGAAAAACTAAACAGGAGCATTCTCAGAAACTGCTTTGTGATGTTTGTGTTCCACTTCAGGAATTGAACTTTCCTCTTGACAGAGCAGCTCTGAAACCCTCTTATTCTAGAATCTGCAAGTGGACATTTGGAGGGCTTTGAGGCCTGTGGTGGAAAAGGAAAATCTTCACATAAAAACTAGATGGAAGCATTCTCAGAAACTACTTTGTGATGATTGCATTCGACTCACAGAGTTGAACATTCCTATAGATAGAGCAGGTTGTAAACAATGTTTTTGTAGAATCTGCGATTGGAGATTTGGACTGCTTTGAGGCCTACTGTAGTAAAGGAAATAACTTCATCTAAAAACCAAACGGAAGCATTCACAGACAATTCTTAGTGATCATTGGATTGAACTAACAGAGCTGAACATTCCTTTAGATGGAGCAGTTTCCAAACACACTTTCTGTAGAATCTGCAAGTGGATATTTGGACCTCTCTGAGGATTTCGTTGGAAACGGGATAAACTTCCCAGAACTACACGGAAGCATTCTGAGAAACTTCTTTGTGATGTTTGCATTCAACTCACAGAGTTGAACCTTGCTTTCATAGTTCAGCTTTCAAACACTCTTTTTGTAGAATCTGCAAGTGGATATTTGGACCACTTTGTGGCCTTCCTTCGAAACGGGTATATCTTCACATCAAACCTAGACAGAAGCATTCTCAGAATGTTTCCTGTGATGACTGCATTCAACTCACAGAGGTGAACAATCCTGTTGATGTAGCACTTTTGAAACTCTCTTTCTTTGGATTCTGCAAGTTGATATGGGGACCTCTGTGAAGATTTCGTTGGAAACGGGTTCATCTTCACAGAAAAACTAAACAGAAGCATTCTCAGAAACTACTTTGTGATGTTTGTGTTCCACTTCAAGAATTGAACTTTCCTCTTGACAGAGCAGCTCTGAAACCCTCTTTTTCTAGAATCTGCAAGTGGACATTTGGAGGGCTTTGAGGTCTGTGGTGGAAAAGGAAAATCTTCACATAAAAACTAGATGGAAGCATTCTCAGAAACTACTTTGTGATGATTGCCCTCGACTCACTGAGTTGAACATTCCTATAGATAGAGCAGGTTGTAAACTATCTTTTTGTAGAATCTGCGATTGGAGATTTGGACTGCTTTGAGGCCTACTGTAGTAAAGGAAATAACTTCATCTAAAAACCAAACGGAAGCAATCACAGACAATTCTTAGTGATCATTGCATTGAACTAACAGAGCTGAACATTCCTTTAGATGGCGCAGTTTCCAAACACACTTTCTGTAGAATCTGCAAGTGGATATTTGGACCTCTCTGAGGATTTCGTCGGAAACGGGATAAATTTCCCAGAACTACACGGAAGCATTCTGAGAAACTTCTTTGTGATGTTTGCATTCAACTCACAGAGTTGAACCTTGCTTTCATAGTTCAGCTTTCAAACACTCTTTTTGTAGAATCTGCAAGTGGATATTTGGACCACTTTGTGGCCTTCCTTCGAAACGGGTATATCTTCACATCAAACCTAGACAGAAGCATTCTCACAATGTTTCCTGTGATGACTGCATTCAACTCACAGAGGTGAACAATCCTGCTGATGGAGCAGTTTTGAAACTCTCTTTCTTTGGATTCTACAAGTGGATATGTGGACCTCTGTGAAGATTTCGTTGGAAACGGGTTCATCTTCACAGAAAAACTAAACAGAAGCATTCTCAGAAACTGCTTTGTGATGTTTGTGTTCCACTTCAGGAATTGAACTTTCCTCTTGACAGAGCAGCTCTGAAACCCTCTTATTCTAGAATCTGCAAGTGGACATTTGGAGGGCTTTGAGGCCTGTGGTGGAAAAGGAAAATCTTCACATAAAAACTAGATGGAAGCATTCTCAGAAACTACTTTGTGATGACTGCATTCGAATCACAGAGTTGAACATTCCTATAGATAGAGCAGGTTGTAAACAATCTTTTTGTAGAGTCTGCGATTGGAGATTTGGACTGCTTTGAGGCCTACTGTAGTAAAGGAAATAACTTCATCTAAAAACCAAACGGAAGCATTCACAGACAATTCTTAGTGATCATTGGATTGAACTAACAGAGCTGAACATTCCTTTAGATGGCGCAGTTTCCAAACACACTTTCTGTAGAATCTGCAAGTGGATATTTGGACCTCTCTGAGGATTTCGTTGGAAACGGGATAAACTTCCCAGAACTACACGGAAGCATTGTGAGAAACTTCTCTGTGATGTTTGCATTCAACTCACAGAGTTGAACCTTGCTTTCATAGTTCAGCTTTCAAACACTCTTTTTGTGGAATCTGCAAGTGGATAATGGACCACTTTGTGGCCTTCCTTCGAAACGGGTATATCTTCACATCAAACCTAGACAGAAGCATTCTCAGAATGTTTCCTGTGATGACTGCATTCAACTCACAGAGGTGAACAATCCTGCTGATGGAGCAGTTTTGAAACTCTCTTTCTTTGGATTCTGCAAGTGGATATGTGGACCTCTGTGAAGATTTCGTTGGAAACGTGTTCATCTTCACAGAAAAACTAAACAGGAGCATTCTCAGAAACTGCTTTGTGATGTTTGTGTTCCACTTCAAGAATTGAACTTTCCTCTTGACAGAGCAGCTCTGAAACCCTCTTTTTCTAGAATCTGCAAGTGGACATTTGGAGGGCTTTGAGGCCTGTGGTGGAAAAGGAAAATCTTCACATAAAAACTAGATGGAAGCATTCTCAGAAACTACTTTGTGATGATTTCATTCGACTCACAGAATTGAACATTCCTATAGATAGAGCAGGGTGAAAACAATCTTTTTGTAGAATCTGCGATTGGAGATTTGTACTGCTTTGAGGCCTACTGTAGTAAAGGAAATAACTTCATCTAAAAACCAAACGGAAGCATTCACAGACAATTCTTAGTGATCATTGGATTGAACTAACAGAGCTGAACATTCCTTTAGATGGCGCAGTTTCCAAACACACTTTCTGTAGAATCTGCAAGTGGATATTTGGACCTCTCTGAGGATTTCGTTGGAAACGGGATAAACTTCCCAGAACTACACGGAAGCATTCTGAGAAACTTCTTTGTGATGTTTGCATTCAACTCACAGAGTTGAACCTTGCTTTCATAGTTCAGCTTTCAAACACTCTTTTTGTAGAATCTGCAAGTGGATATTTGGACCACTTTGTGGCCTTCCTTCGAAACGGGTATATCTTCACATCAAACCTAGACAGAAGCATTCTCAGAATGTTTCCTGTGATGACTGCATTCAACTCACAGAGGTGAACAATCCTGTTGATGGAGCCCTTTTGAAACTCCCTTTCTTTTGATTCTGCAAGTGGATATGTGGACCTCTGTGAAGATTTCGTTGGAAACGGGTTCATCTTCACAGAAAAATTAACAGGAGCATTCTCAGAAACTGCTTTGTGATGTTTGTGTTCCACTTGAAGAATTGAACTTTCCTTTTGACAGAGCAGCTCTGAAATCCTCTTTTTCTAGAATCTGCAAGTGGACATTTGGAGGGCTTTGAGGCCTGTGGTGGAAAAGGAAAATCTTCCCATAAAAACTAGATGGAAGCATTCTCAGAAACTACTTTGTGATGATTGCATTCGACTCACAGAGTTGAACATTCCTATACATAGAGCAGGTTGTAAACAATCTTTTTGTAGAATCTGCGATTGGAGATTTGGACTGCTTTGAGGCCTACTGTAGTAAAGGAAATAACTTCATCTAAAAACCAAACGGAAGCATTCACAGACAATTCTTAGTGATCATTGGATTGAACTAACAGAGCTGAACATTCCTTTAGATGGAGCAGTTTCCAAACCCACTTTCTGTAGAATCTGCAAGTGGATATTTGGACTTCTCTGAGGATTTCGTTGGAAACGGGATAAACTTCCCAGAACTACACGGAAGCATTCTGAGAAACTTCTTTGTGATGTTTGCATTCAACTCACAGAGTTGAACCTTGCTTTCATAGTTCAGCTTTCAAACACTCTTTTTGTAGAATCTGCAAGTGGATATTTGGACCACTTTGTGGCCTTCCTTCGAAACGGGTATATCTTCACATCAAACCTAGACAGAAGCATTCTCAGAATGTTTCCTGTGATGACTGCATTCAACTCACAGAGGTGAACAATCCTGCTGTTGGAGCAGTTTTGAAACTCTCTTTCTTTGGATTCTGCAAGTGGATATGTGGACCTCTGTGAAGATTTCGTTGGAAACGGGTTCATCTTCACAGAAAAACTAAACAGGAGCATTCTCAGAAACTGCTTTGTGATGTTTGTGTTCCACTTAAAGAATTGAACTTTCCTCTTGACAGAGCAGCTCTGAAACCCTCTTTTTCTAGAATCTGCAAGTGGACATTTGGAGGGCTTTGAGGCCTGTGGTGGAAAAGGAAAATCTTCACATAAAAACTTTATGGAAGCATTCTCAGAAACTTCTTTGTGATGATTGCATTCGACTCACAGAGTTGAACATTCCTATAGATAGAGCAGGTTGTAAACAATCTTTTTGTAGAATCTGCGATTGGAGATTTGGACTGCTTTGAGGCCTACTGTAGTAAAGGAAATAACTTCATCTAAAAACCAAACGGAAGCATTCACAGACAATTCTTAGTGATCATTGGATTGAACTAACAGAGCTGAACATTCCTTTAGATGGAGCAGTTTCCAAACCCACTTTCTGTAGAATCTGCAAGTGGATATTTGGACTTCTCTGAGAATTTCGTTGGAAACGGGATAAACTTCCCAGAACTACACGGAAGCATTGTGAGAAACTTCTTTGTGATGTTTGCATTCAACTCACAGAGTTGAACCTTGCTTTCATAGTTCAGCTTTCAAACACTCTTTTTGTAGAATCTGCAAGTGGATATTTGGACCACTTTGTGGCCTTCCTTCGAAACGGGTATATCTTCACATCAAACCTAGACAGAAGCATTCTCAGAATGTTTCCTGTGATGACTGCATTCAACTCACAGAGGTGAACAATCCTGCTGATGGAGCAGTTTTGAAACTCTCTTTCTTTGGATTGTGCAAGTGGATATGTGGACCTCTGTGTAGATTTCGTTGGAAACGGGTTCATCTTCACAGAAAAACTAAACAGGAGCATTCTCAGAAACTGCTTTGTGATGTTTGTGTTCCACTTCAAGAATTGAACTTTCCTCTTGACAGAGCAGCTCTGAAACCCTCTTTTTCTAGAAACTGCAAGTGGACATTTGGAGGGCTTAGAGGCCTGTGGTGGAAAAGGAAAATCTTCACATAAAAACTAGATGGAAGCATTCTCAGAAACTACTTTGTGATGATTGCATTCGACTCACAGAGTTGAACATTCCTATAGATAGATCAGGTTGTAAACAATCTTTTTGTAGAATCTGCGATTGGAGATTTGGACTGCTTTGAGGCCTACTGTAGTAAAGGAAATAACTTCATCTAAAAACCAAACGGAAGCATTCACAGACAATTCTTAGTGATCATTGCATTGAACTAACAGAGCTGAACATTCCTTTAGATGGCGCAGTTTCCAAACACACTTTCTGTAGAATCTGCAAGTGGATATTTGGACCTCTCTGAGGATTTCGTTGGAAACGGGATAAACTTCCCAGAACTACACGGAAGCATTGTGAGAAACTTCTTTGTGATGTTTGCATTCAACTCACAGAGTTGAACCTTGCTTTCATAGTTCAGCTTTCAAACACTCTTTTTGTAGAATCTGCAAGTGGATATTTGGACCACTTTGTGGCCTTCCTTCGAAACGGGTATATCTTCACATCAAACCTAGACAGAAGCATTCTCAGAATGTTTCCTGTGATGACTGCATTCAACTCACAGAGGTGAACAATCCTGCTGATGGAGCAGTTTTGAAACTCTCTTTCTTTGGATTCAGCAAGTGGATATGTGGACCTCTGTGAAGATTTCGTTGGAAACGGGTTCATCTTCACAGAAAAACTAAACAGGAGCATTCTCAGAAACTGCATTATCATGTTTGTGTTCCACTTCAAGAGTTGAACTTTCCTCTTGACAGAGCAGCTCTGAAACCCTCTTTTTCTAGAATCTGCAAGTGGACATTTGGAGGGCTTTGAGGCCTGTGGTGGAAAAGGAAAATCTTCACATAAAAACTAGATGGAAGCATTCTCAGAAACTACTTTGTGATGATTGCATTCGACTCACAGAGTTGAACATTCCTATAGATAGAGCAGGTTGTAAACAATCTTTTTGTAGAATCTGCGATTGGAGATTTGGACTGCTTTGAGGCCTACTGTAGTAAAGGAAATAACTTCATCTAAAAACCAAACGGAAGCAATCACAGACAATTCTTAGTGATCATTGCATTGAACTAACAGAGCTGAACATTCCTTTAGATGGCGCAGTTTCCAAACACACTTTCTGTAGAATCTGCAAGTGGATATTTGGACCTCTCTGAGGATTTCGTTGGAAACGGGATAAATTTCCCAGAACTACACGGAAGCATTCTGAGAAACTTCTTTGTGATGTTTGCATTCAACTCACAGAGTTGAACCTTGCTTTCATAGTTCAGCTTTCAAACACTCTTTTTGTAGAATCTGCAAGTGGATATTTGGACCACTTTGTGGCCTTCCTTCGAAACGGGTATATCTTCACATCAAACCTAGACAGAAGCATTCTCAGAATGTTTCCTGTGATGACTGCATTCAACTCACAGAGGTGAACAATCCTGCTGATGGAGCAGTTTTGAAACACTCTTTCTTTGGATTCTGCAAGTGGATATGTGGACCTCTGTGAAGATTTCGTTGGAAACGGGTTCATCTTCACAGAAAAACTAAACAGAAGCATTCTCAGAAACTGCTTTGTGATGTTTGTGTTCCACTTCAGGAATTGAACTTTCCTCTTGACAGAGCAGCTCTGAAACCCTCTTATTCTAGAATCTGCAAGTGGACATTTGGAGGGCTTTGAGGCCTGTGGTGGAAAAGGAAAATCTTCACATAAAAACTAGATGGAAGCATTCTCAGAAACTACTTTGTGATGATTGCATTCGACTCACAGAGTTGAACATTCCTATAGATAGAGCAGGTTGTAAACAATCTTTTTGTAGAATCTGCGATTGGAGATTTGTTCTGCTTTGAGGCCTACTGTAGTAAAGGAAATAACTTCATCTAAAAACCAAACGGAAGCATTCACAGACAATTCTTAGTGATCATTGGATTGAACTAACAGAGCTGAACATTCCTTTAGATGGAGCAGTTTCCAAACACACTTTCTGTAGAATCTGCAAGTGGATATTTGGACTTCTCTGAGGATTTCGTTGGAAACGGGATAAACTTCCCAGAACTACACGGAAGCATTGTGAGAAACTTCTTTGTGATGTTTGCATTCAACTCACAGAGTTGAACCTTGCTTTCATAGTTCAGCTTTCAAACACTCTTTTTGTAGAATCTGCAAGTGGATATTTGGACCACTTTGTGGCCTTCCTTCGAAACGGGTATATCTTCACATCAAACCTAGACAGAAGCATTCTCAGAATGTTTCCTGTGATGACTGCATTCAACTCACAGAGGTGAACAATCCTGCTGATGGAGCAGTTTTGAAACTCTCTTTCTTTGGATTCTGCAAGTGGATATGTGGACCTCTGTGAAGATTTCGTTGGAAACGGGTTCATCTTCACAGAAAAACTAAACAGGAGCATTCTCAGAAACTGCTTTGTGATGTTTGTGTTCCACTTCAAGAATTGAACTTTCCTCTTGACAGAGCAGCTCTGAAACCCTCTTTTACTAGAATCTGCAAGTGGACATTTGGAGGGCTTTGAGGCCTGTGGTGGAAAAGGAAAATCTTCACATAAAAACTAGATGGAAGCATTCTCAGAAACTACTTTGTGATGATTGCATTCGACTCACAGAGTTGAACATTCCTATAGATAGAGCAGGTTGTAAACAATCTTTTTGTAGAATCTGCGATTCGAGATTTGGAATGCTTTGAGGCCTACTGCAGTAAAGGAAATAACTTCATCTAAAAACCAAACGGAAGCATTCACAGACAATTCTTAGTGATCATTGCATTGAACTAACAGAGCTGAACATTCCTTTAGATGGCGCAGTTTCCAAACACACTTTCTGTAGAATCTGCAAGTGGATATTTGGACTTCTCTGAGGATTTCGTTGGAAACGGGATAAACTTCCCAGAACTACACGGAAGCATTCTGAGAAACTTCTTTGTGATGTTTGCATTCAACTCACAGAGTTGAACCTTGCTTTCATAGTTCAGCTTTCAAACACTCTTTTTGTAGAATCTGCAAGTGGATATTTGGACCACTTTCTGGCCTTCCTTCGAAACGGGTATATCTTCACATCAAACCTAGACAGAAGCATTCTCAGAATGTTTCCTGTGATGACTGCATTCAACTCACAGAGGTGAACAATCCTGCTGATGGAGCAGTTTTGAAACTCTCTTTCTTTGGATTCTGCAAGTGGATATGTGGACCTCTGTGAAGATTTCGTTGGAAACGGGTTCATCTTCACAGAAAAACTAAACAGGAGCATTCTCAGAAACTGCTTTGTGATGTTTGTGTTCCACTTCAAGAATTGAACTTTCCTCTCGACAGAGCAGCTCTGAAACCCTCTTTTTCTAGAATCTGCAAGTGGACATTTGGAGGGCTTTGAGGCCTGTGGTGGAAAAGGAAAATCTTAACATAAAAACTAGATGGAAGCATTCTCAGAAACTACTTTGTTATGATTGCATTCGACTCACAGAGTTGAACATTCCTATAGATAGAGCAGGTTGTAAACAATCTTTTTGTAGAATCTGCGATTGGAGATTTGGACTGCTTTGAGGCCTACTGTAGTAAAGGAAATAACTTCATCTAAAAACCAAACGGAAGCATTCACAGACAATTCTTAGTGATCATTGCATTGAACTAACAGAGCTGAACATTCCTTTAGATGGCGCAGTTTCCAAACACACTTTCTGTAGAATCTGCAAGTGGATATTTGGACCTCTCTGAGGATTTCGTTGGAAACGGGATAAACTTCCCAGAACTACACGGAAGCATTCTGAGAAACTTCTTTGTGATGTTTGCTTTCAACTCAGAGAGTTGAACCTTGCTTTCATAGTTCAGCTTTCAAACCCTCTTTTTGTAGAATCTGCAAGTGGATATTTGGACCACTTTGTGGCCTTCCTTCGAAACGGGTATATCTTCACATCAAATCTAGACAGAAGCATTCTCAGAATGTTTCCTGTGATGACTGCATTCAACTCACAGAGGTGAACAATCCTGCTGATGGAGCAGTTTTGAAACTCTCTTTCTTTGGATTCTGCAAGTGGATATGTGGACCTCTGTGAAGATTTCGTTGGAAACGGGTTCATCTTCACAGAAAAACTAAACAGAAGCATTCTCAGAAACTGCTTTGTTATGTTTGTGTTCCACTTCAAGAATTGAACTTTCCTCTTGACAGAGCAGCTCTGAAACCCTCTTATTCTAGAATCTGCAAGTGGACATTTGGAGGGCTTTGAGGCCTGTGGTGGAAAAGGAAAATCTTCACATAAAAACTAGATGGAAGCATTCTCAGAAACTACTTTGTGATGATTGCATTCGACTCACAGAGTTGAACATTCCTATAGATAGAGCAGGTTGTAAACAATCTTTTTGTAGAATCTGCGATTGGAAATTTGGACTGCTTTGAGGCCTACTGTAGTAAAGGAAATAACTTCATCTAAAAACCAAACGGAAGCATTCACAGACAATTCTTAGTGATCATTGGATTGAACTAACAGAGCTGAACATTCCTTTAGATGGAGCAGTTTCCAAACACACTTTCTGTAGAATCTGCAAGTGGATATTTGGACTTCTCTAAGGATTTCGTTGGAAACGGTATAAACTTCCCAGAACTACACGGAAGTATTCTGAGAAACTTCTTTGTGATGTTTGCATTCAACTCACAGAGTTGAACCTTGCTTTCATAGTTCAGCTTTCAAACACTCTTTTTGTAGAATCTGCAAGTGGATATTTGGACCACTTTGTGGCCTTCCTTCGAAACGGGTATATCTTCACATCAAACCTAGACAGAAGCATTCTCAGAATGTTTCCTGTGATGACTGCATTCAACTCACAGAGGTGAACAATCCTGCTGATGGAGCAGTTTTGAAACTCTCTTTCTTTGGATTCTGCAAGTGGATATGTGGACCTCTGTGAAGATTTCGTTGGAAACGGGTTCATCTTCACAGAAAAACTAAACAGAAACATTCTCAGAAACTGCTTTGTGATGTTTGTGTTCCACTTCAAGAATTGAACTTTCCTCTTGACAGAGCAGCTCTGAAACCCTCTTTTTCTAGAATCTGCAAGTGGACATTTGGAGGGCTTTGAGGCCTGTGGTGGAAAAGGAAAATCTTCACATAAAAACTAGATGGAAGCATTCTCAGAAACTACTTTGTGATGATTGCATTCGACTCACAGAGTTGAACATTCCTATAGATAGAGCAGGTTGTAAACAATCTTTTTGTAGAATCTGCGATTGGAGATTTGGACTGCTTTGAGGCCTACTGTAGTAAAGGAAATAACTTCATCTAAAAACCAAACGGAAGCATTCACAGACAATTCTTAGTGATCATTGGATTGAACTAACAGAGCTGAACATTCCTCTAGATGGAGCAGTTTCCAAACACACTTTCTGTAGAATCTGCAAGTGGATATTTGGACTTCTCTGAGGATTTCGTTGGAAACGGGATAAACTTCCCAGAACTACACGGAAGCATTGTGAGAAACTTCTTTGTGATGTTTGCATTCAACTCACAGAGTTGAACCTTGCTTTCATAGTTCAGCTTTCAAACACTCTTTTTGTAGAATCTGCAAGTGGATATTTGGACCACTTTGTGGCCTTCCTTCGAAACGGGTATATCTTCACATCAAACCTAGACAGAAGCATTCTCAGAATGTTTCCTGTGATGACTGCATTCAACTCACAGAGGTGAACAATCCTGCTGATGGAGCAGTTTTGAAACTCTCTTTCTTTGGATTCTGCAAGTGGATATGTGGACCTCTGTGAAGATTTCGTTGGAAACGGGTTCATCTTCACAGAAAAACTAAACAGAAGCATTCCCAGAAACTGCTTTGTGATGTTTCTGTTCCACTTCAAGAATTGAACTTTCCTCTTGACAGAGCAGCTCTGAAACCCTCTTTTTCTAGAATCTGCAAGTGGACATTTGGAGGGCTTTGAGGCCTGTGGTGGAAAAGGAAAATCTTCACATAAAAACTAGATGGAAGCATTCTCAGAAACTACTTTGTGATGATTGCATTCGACTCACAGAGTTCAACATTCCTATAGGGAGAGCAGGTTGTAAACAATCTTTTTGTAGAATCTGCGATTAGAGATTTGGACTGCTTTGAGGCCTACTGTAGTAAAGGAAATAACTTCATCTAAAAACCAAACGGAAGCATTCACAGACAATTCTTAGTGATCATTGCATTGAACTAACAGAGCTGAACATTGCTTTAGATGGCGCAGTTTCCAAACACACTTTCTGTAGAATCTGCAAGTGGATATTTGGACCTCTCTGAGGATTTCGTTGGAAACGGGATAAACTTCCCAGAACTACACGGAAGCATGCTGAGAAACTTCTTTGTGATGTTTGCATTCAACTCACAGAGTTGAACCTTGCTTTCATAGTTCAGCTTTCAAACACTCTTTTTGTAGAATCTGCAAGTGGATATTTGGACCACTTTGTGGCCTTCCTTCGAAACGGGTATATCTTCACATCAAACCTAGACAGAAGCATTCTCAGAATGTTTCCTGTGATGACTGCATTCAACTCACAGAGGTGTACAATCCTGTTGATGGAGCACTTTTGAAACTCTCTTTCTTTGGATTCTGCAAGTGGATATGTGGACCTCTGTGAAGATTTCGTTGGAAACGGGTTCATCTTCACAGAAAAACTAAACAGAAGCATTCTCAGAAACTGCTTTGTGATGTTTGTGTTCCACTTCAGGAATTGAACTTTCCTCTTGACAGAGCAGCTCTGAAACCCTCTTATTCTAGAATCTGCAAGTGGACATTTGGAGGGCTTTGAGGCCTGTGGTGGAAAAGGAAAATCTTCACATAAAAACTAGATGGAAGCATTCTCAGAAACTACTTTGTGATGATTGCATTCGACTCACAGAGTTGAACATTCCTATAGATAGAGCAGGTTGTAAACAATCTTTTTGTAGAATCTGCGATTGGAGATTTGGACTGCTTTGAGGCCTACTGTAGTAAAGGAAATAACTTCATCTAAAAACCAAACGGAAGCATTCACAGACAATTCTTAGTGATCATTGGATTGAACTAACAGAGTTGAACATTCCTTTAGATGGAGCAGTTTCCAAACCCACTTTCTGTAGAATCTGCAAGTGGATATTTGGACTTCTCTGAGGATTTCGTTGGAAACGGGATAAACTTCCCAGAACTACACGGAAGCATTCTGAGAAACTTCTTTGTGATGTTTGCATTCAACTCACAGGGTTGAACCTTGCTTTCATAGTTCAGCTTTCAAACACTCTTTTTGTAGAATCTGCAAGTGGATATTTGGACCACTTTGTGGCCTTCCTTCGAAACGGGTATATCTTCACATCAAACCTAGACAGAAGCATTCTCAGAATGTTTCCTGTGATGACTGCATTCAACTCACAGAGGTGAACAATCCTGTTGATGGAGCAGTTTTGAATCTCTCTTTCTTTGGATTCTGCAAGTGGATATGTGGACCTCTGTGAAGATTTCGTTGGAAACGGGTTCATCTTCACAGAAAAACTAAACAGAAGCATTCTCAGAAACTGCTTTGTGATGTTTGTGTTCCACTTCAAGAATTGAACTTTCCTCTTGACAGAGCAGCTCTGAAACCCTCTTTTTCTAGAATCTGCAAGTGGACATTTGGAGGGCTTTGAGGCCTGTGGTGGAAAAGGAAAATCTTCACATAAAAACTAGATGGAAGCATTCTCAGAAACTACTTTGTGATGATTGCATTCGACTCACATAGTTGAACATTCCTATAGATAGAGCAGGTTGTAAACAATCTTTTTGTAGAATCTGCGATTGGAGATTTGGACTGCTTTGAGGCCTACTGTAGTAAAGGAAATAACTTCATCTAAAAACCAAACGGAAGCATTCACAGACAATTCTTAGTGATCATTGGATTGAACTAACAGAGCTGAGCATTCCTTTAGATGGAGCAGTTTCCAAACACACTTTCTGTAGAATCTGCAAGTGGATATTTAGACCTCTCTGAGGATTTCGTTGGAAACGGGATAAACTTCCCAGAACTACACGGAAGTATTCTGAGAAACTTCTTTGTGATTTTTGCATTCAACTCACAGAGTTGAACCTTGCTTTCATAGTTCAGCTTTCAAACACTCTTTTTGTAGAATCTGCAAGTGGATATTTGGACCACTTTGTGGCCTTCCTTCGAAACGGGTATATCTTCACATCAAACCTAGACAGAAGCATTCTCAGAATGTTTCCTGTGATGACTGCATTCAACTCACAGAGGTGAACAATCCTGCTGATGGAGCAGTTTTGAAACTCTCTTTCTTTGGATTCTGCAAGTGGATATGTGGACCTCTGTGAAGATTTCATTGGAAACGGGTTTATCTTCACAGAAAAACTAAACAGAAGCATTCTCAGAAACTGCTTTGTGATGTTTGTGTTCCACTACAAGAATTGAACTTTCCTCTTGACAGAGCAGCTCTGAAACCCTCTTTTTCTAGAATCTGCAAGTGGACATTTGGAGGGCTTTGAGGCCTGTGGTGGAAAAGGAAAATCTTCACATAAAAACTAGATGGAAGCATTCTCAGAAACTACTTTGTGATGATTGCATTCGACTCACAGAGTTGAACATTCCTATACATAGAGCAGGTTGTAAACAATCTTTTTGTAGAATCTGCGATTGGAGATTTGGACTGCTTTGAGGCCTACTGTAGTAAAGGAAATAACTTCATCTAAAAACCAAACGGAAGCATTCACAGACAATTCTTAGTCATCATTGCATTGAACTAACAGAGCTGAACATTCCTTTAGATGGAGCAGTTTCCAAACCCACTTTCTGTAGAATCTGCAAGTGGATATTTGGACTTCTCTGAGGATTTCGTTGGAAACGGGATATGCTTCCCAGAACTACAGGGAAGCATTCTGAGAAACTTCTTTGTGATGTTTGCATTCAACTCACAGAGTTGAACCTTGCTTTCATAGTTCAACTTTCAAACACTCTTTTTGTAGAATCTGCAAGTGGATATTTGGACCACTTTGTGGCCTTCCTTCGAAACGGGTATATCTTCACATCAAACCTAGACAGAAGCATTCTCAGAATGTTTCCTGTGATGACTGCATTCAACTCACAGAGGTGAACAATCCTGCTGATGGAGCAGTTTTGAAACTCTCTTTCTTTGGATTCTACAAGTGGATATGTGGACCTCTGTGCAGATTTCGTTGGAAACGGGTTCATCTTCACAGAAAAACTAAACAGAAGCATTCTCAGAAACTACTTTGTGATGTTTGTGTTCCACCTTCAAGAATTGAACTTTCCTCTTGACAGAGCAGCTCTGAAACCCTCTTTTTCCAGAATCTGCAAGTGGACATTTGGAGGGCTTTGAGGCCTGTGGTGGAAAAGGAAAATCTTCACATAAAAACTAGATGGAAGCATTCTCAGAAACTACTTTGTGATGATTGCATTCGACTCACAGAGTTGAACATTCCTATAGATAGAGCACGTTGTAAACAATCTTTTTGTAGAATCTGCGATTGGAAATTTGGACTGCTTTGAGGCCTACTGTAGTAAAGGAAATAACTTCATCTAAAAACCAAACGGAAGCATTCACAGACAATTCTTAGTGATCATTGCATTGAACTAACAGAGCTGAACATTCCTTTAGATGGCGCAGTTTCCAAACACACTTTCTGTAGAATCTGCAAGTGGATATTTGGACCTCTCTGAGGATTTCGTTGGAAACGGGATAAACTTCCCAGAACTACACGGAAGAATTGTGAGAAACTTCTTTGTGATGTTTGCATTCAACTCACAGGGTTGAACCTTGCTTTCATAGTTCAGCTTTCAAACACTCTTTTTGTAGAATCTGCAAGTGGATATTTGGACCACATTTGGCCTTCCTTCCAAACGGGTATATCTCCACATGAAACCTAGACAGAAGCATTCTCAGAATGTTTCCTGTGATGACTGCATTCAACTCACAGAGGTGAACAATCCTGCTGATGGAGCAGTTTTGAAACTCTCTTTCTTTGGATTCTGCAGGTGGATATGTGGACCTCTGTGAAGATTTCGTTGGAAACGGGTTCATCTTCACAGAAAAACTAAACAGGAGCATTCTCAGAAACTGCTTTGTGATGTTTGTGTTCCACTTCAGGAATTGAACTTTCCTCTTGACAGAGTAGCTCTGAAACCCTCTTTTTCTAGAATCTGCAAGTGGACATTTGGAGGGCTTTGAAGCCTGTGGTGGAAAAGGAAAATCTTCACATAAAAACTAGATGGAATCATTCTCAGAAACTACTTTGTGATGATTGCATTCGACTCACAGAGTTGAACATTCCTATAGATAGAGCAGGTTGAAAACAATCTTTTTGTAGAATCTGTGATTGGAAATTTGGACTGCTTTGAGGCCTACTGTAGTAAAGGAAATAACTTCATCTAAAAACCAAACGGAAGCATTCACAGACAATTCTTAGTGATCATTGGATTGAACTAACAGAGCTGAACATTCCTTTAGATGGAGCAGTTTCCAAACCCACTTTCTGTAGAATCTGCAAGTGGATATTTGGACTTCTCTGAGGATTTCGTTGGAAACGGGATAAACTTCCCAGAACTACACGGAAGCATTCTGAGAAACTTCTTTGTGATGTTTGCATTCAACTCACAGAGTTGAACCTTGCTTTCATAGTTCAGCTTTCAAACACTCTTTTTGTAGAATCTGCAAGTGGATATTTGGACCACTTTCTGGCCTTCCTTCGAAACGGGTATATCTTCACATCAAACCTAGACAGAAGCATTCTCAGAATGTTTCCTGTGATGACTGCATTCAACTCACAGAGGTGAACAATCCTGTTGATGGAGCAGTTTTGAAACTCTCTTTCTTTGGATTCTGCAAGTGGATATGTGGACCTCTGTGAAGATTTCGTTGGAAACGGGTTCATCTTCACAGAAAAACTAAACAGAAGCATTCTCAGAAACTGCTTTGTGATGTTTGTGTTCCACTTCAGGAATTGAACTTTCCTCTTGACAGAGCAGCTCTAAAACCCTCTTATTCTAGAATCTGCAAGTGGACATTTGGAGGGCTTTGAGGCCTGTGGTGGAAAAGGAAAATCTTCACATAAAAACTAGATGGAAGCATTCTCAGAAACTACTTTGTGATGATTGCATTCGACTCACAGAGTTGAACATTCCTATAGATAGAGCAGGTTGTAAACAATCTTTTTGTAGAATCTGCGATTGGAGATTTGGACTGCTTTGAGGCCTACTGTAGTAAAGGAAATAACTTCATCTAAAAACCAAACGGAAGCATTCACAGACAATTCTTAGTGATCATTGGATTGAAGTAACAGAGCTGAACATTCCTTTAGATGGAGCAGTTTCCAAACACACTTTCTGTAGAATCTGCAAGTGGATATTTGGACCTCTCTGAGGATTTCGTTGGAAAAGGGATAAACTTCCCAGAACTACACGGAAGCATTCTGAGAAACTTCTTTGTGATGTTTGCATTCAACTCACAGAGTTGAACCTTGCTTTCATAGTTCAGCTTTCAAACACTCTTTTTGTAGGATCTGCAAGTGGATATTTGACAACTTTGTGGCCTTCCTTCGAAACGGGTATATCTTCACATCAAACCTAGACAGAAGCATTCTCAGAATGTTTCCTGTGATGACTGCATTCAACTCACAGAGGTGAACAATCCTGTTGATGGAGCAGTTTTGAAACTCTCTTTCTTTGGATTCTGCAA
This sequence comes from Homo sapiens, assembly GCF_000001405.40. Lineage (NCBI taxonomy): Eukaryota > Metazoa > Chordata > Mammalia > Primates > Hominidae > Homo > Homo sapiens. The sequence continues at coordinate 52,156,701 of NC_000011.10, forward strand.
GTTGATATGTGGACCTCTGTGAAGATTTCGTTGGAAACGGGTTCATCTTCTCAGAAAAACTAAACAGAAGCATTCTCAGAAACTGCTTTGTGATGTTTGTGTTCCACTTCAAGAATTGAACTTTCCTCTTGACAGAGCAGCTCTGAAACCCTCTTTTTCTAGAATCTGCAAGTGGACATTTGGAGGGCTTTGAGGCCTGTGGTGGAAAAGGAAAATCTTCACATAAAAACTAGATGGAAGCATTCTCAGAAACTACTTTGTGATGATTGCATTCGACTCACAGAGTTGAACATTCCTATAGATAGAGCAGGTTGTAAACAATCTTTTTGTAGAATCTGCGATTGGAGATTTGGACTGCTTTGAGGCCTACTGTAGTAAAGGAAATAACTTCATCTAAAAACCAAACGGAAGCATTCACAGACAATTCTTAGTGATCATTGGATTGAACTAACAGAGCTGAACATTCCTTTAGATGGAGCAGTTTCCAAACACACTTTCTGTAGAATCTGCAAGTGGATATTTGGACTTCTCTGAGGATTTCGTTGGAAACGGGATAAACTTCCCAGAACTACACGGAAGCATTGGGAGAAACTTCTTTGTGATGTTTGCATTCAACTCACAGAGTTGAACCTTGCTTTCATAGTTCAGCTTTCAAACACTCTTTTTGTAGAATCTGCAAGTGGATATTTGGACCACTTTGTGGCCTTCCTTCGAAACGGGTATATCTTCACATCAAACCTAGACAGAAGCATTCTCAGAATGTTTCCTGTGATGACTGCATTCAACTCACAGAGGTGAACAATCCTGCTGATGGAGCAGTTTTGAAACTCTCTTTCTTTGGATTCTGCAAGTGGATATGTGGACCTCTGTGAAGATTTCGTTGGAAACGGGTTCATCTTCACAGAAAAACTAAACAGAAGCATTCTCAGAAACTGCTTTGTGATGTTTGTGTTCCACTTCAGGAATTGAACTTTCCTCTTGACAGAGCAGCTATGAAATCCTCTTATTCTAGAATCTGCAAGTGGACATTTGGAGGGCTTTGAGGCCTGTGGTGGAAAAGGAAAATCTTCACATAAAAACTAGATGGAAGCATTCTCAGAAACTACTTTGTGATGATTGCATTCGACTCACAGAGTTGAACATTCCTATAGATAGAGCAGGTTGTAAACAATCTTTTTGTAGAATCTGCGATTGGAAATTTGGACTGCTTTGAGGCCTACTGTAGTAAAGGAAATAACTTCATCTAAAAACCAAACGGAAGCATTCACAGACAATTCTTAGTGATCATTGGATTGAACAAACAGAGCTGAACATTCCTTTAGATGGCGCAGTTTCCAAACACACTTTCGGTAGAATCTGCAAGTGGATATTTGGACCTCTCTGAGGATTTCGTTGGAAACGGGATAAACTTCCCAGAACTACACGGAAGCATTGTGAGAAACTTCTTTGTGATGTTTGCATTCAACTCACAGAGTTGAACCTTGCTTTCATAGTTCAGCTTTCAAACACTCTTTTTGTAGAATCTGCAAGTGGATATTTGGACCACTTTGTGGCCTTCCTTCGAAACGGGTATATCTTCACATCAAACCTAGACAGAAGCATTCTCAGAATGTTTCCTGTGATGACTGCATTCAACTCACAGAGGTGAACAATCCTGTTGATGGAGCAGTTTTGAAACTCTCTTTCTTTGGATTCTGCAAGTTGATATGTGGACCTCTGTGAAGATTTCGTTGGAAACGGGTTCATCTTCACAGAAAAACTAAACAGAAGCATTCTCAGAAACTGCTTTGTGATGTTTGTGTTCCACTTCAGGAATTGAACTTTCCTCTTGACAGAGCAGCTCTGAAACCCTCTTTTTCTAGAATCTGCAAGTGGACATTTGGAGGTCTTTGAGGCCTGTGGTGGAAAAGGAAAATCTTCACATAAAAACTAGATGGAAGCATTCTCAGAAACTACTTTGTGATGATTGCATTCGACTCACAGAGTTGAACATTCCTATAGATAGAGCAGGTTGAAAACAATCTTTTTGTAGAATCTGCGATTGGAGATTTGGACTGCTTTGAGGCCTACTGTAGTAAAGGAAATAACTTCATCTAAAAACCAAACGGAAGCATTCACAGAAAATTCTTAGTGATCATTGGATTGAACTAACAGAGCTGAACATTCCTTTAGATGGAGCAGTTTCCAAACACACTTTCTGTAGAATCTGCAAGTGGATATTTGGACCTCTCTGAGGATTTCGTTGGAAAAGGGATAAACTTCCCAGAACTACACGGAAGCATTCTGAGAAACTTCTTTGTGATGTTTGCATTCAACTCACAGAGTTGAACCTTGCTTTCATAGTTCAGCTTTCAAACACTCTTTTTGTAGAATCTGCAAGTGGATATTTGGACCACTTTGTGGCCTTCCTTCGAAACGGGTATATCTTCACATCAAACCTAGACAGAAGCATTCTCAGAATGTTTCCTGTGATGACTGCATTCAACTCACAAAGGTGAACAATCCTGTTGATGGAGCAGTTTTGAATCTCTCTTTCTTTGGATTCTGCAAGTGGATATGTGGACCTCTGTGAAGATTTCGTTGGAAACGGGTTCATCTTCACAGAAAAACTAAACAGAAGCATTCTCAGAAACTGCTTTGTGATGTTTGTGTTCCACTTCAGGAATTGAACTTTCCTCTTGACAGAGCAGCTCTGAAACCCTCTTATTCTAGAATCTGCAAGTGGACATTTGGAGGGCTTTGAGGCCTGTGGTGGAAAAGGAAAATCTTCACATAAAAACTAGATGGAAGCATTCTCAGAAACTACTTTGTGATGATTGCATTCGACTCACAGAGTTGAACATTCCTATAGATAGAGCAGGTTGTAAACAATCTTTTTGTAGAATCTGCGATTGGAGATTTGGACTGCTTTGAGGCCTACTGTAGTAAAGGAAATAACTTCATCTAAAAACCAAACGGAAGCATTCACAGACAATTCTTAGTGATCATTGGATTGAACTAACAGAGCTGAACATTCCTTTAGATGGCGCAGTTTCCAAACACACTTTCTGTAGAATCTGCAAGTGGATATTTGGACCTCTCTGAGGATTTCGTTGGAAACGGGATAAACTTCCCAGAACTACACGGAAGCATTCTGAGAAACTTCTTTGTGATGTTTGCATTCAACTCACAGAGTTGAACCTTGCTTTCATAGTTCAGCTTTCAAACACTCTTTTTGTAGAATCTGCAAGTGGATATTTGGACCACTTTCTGGCCTTCCTTCGAAACGGGTATATCTTCACATCAAACCTAGACAGAAGCATTCTCAGAATGTTTCCTGTGATGACTGCATTCAACTCACAGAGGTGAACAATCCTGCTGATGGAGCAGTTTTGAAACTCTCTTTCTTTGGATTCTGCAAGTGGATATGTGGACCTCTGTGAAGATTTCGTTGGAAACGGGTTCATCTTCACAGAAAAACTAAACAGGAGCATTCTCAGAAACTGCTTTGTGATGTTTGTGTTCCACTTCAAGCAATTGAACTTTCCTCTTGACAGAGCAGCTCTGAAACCCTCTTTTTCTAGAATCTGCAAGTGGACATTTGGAGGGCTTTGAGGCCTGTGGTGGAAAAGGAAAATCTTCCCATAAAAACTAGATGGAAGCATTCTCAGAAACTACTTTGTGATGATTGCATTCGACTCACAGAGTTGAACATTCCTATAGATAGAGCAGGTTGAAAACAATCTTTTTGTAGAATTTGCGATAGGAGATTTGGACTGCTTTGAGGCCTACTGTAGTAAAGGAAATAACTTCATCTAAAAACCAAACGGAAGCATTCACAGACAATTCTTAGTGATCATTGCATTGAACTAACAGAGCTGAACATTCCTTTAGATGGCGCAGTTTCCAAACACACTTTCTGTAGAATCTGCAAGTGGATATTTGGACCTCCCTGAGGATTTCGTTGGAAACGGGATAAAATTCCCAGAACTACACGGAAGCATTCTGAGAAACTTCTTTGTGATGTTTGCATTCAACTCACAGAGTTGAACCCTGCTTTCATAGTTCAGCTTTCAAACACTCTTTTTGTAGAATCTGCAAGTGGATATTTGGACCACTTTGTGGCCTTCCTTCGAAACGGGTATATCTTCACATCAAACCTAGACAGAAGCATTCTCAGAATGTTTCCTGTGATGACTGCATTCAACTCACAGAGGTGAACAATCCTGCTGATGGAGCAGTTTTGAAACTCTCTTTCTTTGGATTCTGCAAGTGGATATGTGGAACTCTGTGAAGATTTCGTTGGAAACGGGTTCATCTTCACAGAAAAACTAAACAGAAGCATTCTCAGAAACTGCTTTGTGATGTTTGTGTTCCACTTCAAGAATTGAACTTTCCTCTTCACAGAGCAGCTCTGAAACCCTCTTTTTCTAGAATATGCAAGTGGACATTTGGAGGGCTTTGAGGCCTGTGGTGGAAAAGGAAAATCTTCACATAAAAACTAGATGGAAGCATTCTCAGAAACTACTTTGTGATGATTGCATTCGACTCACAGAGTTGAACATTCCTATAGATAGAGCAGGTTGTAAACAATCTTTTTGTAGAATCTGCGATTGGAGATTTGGACTGCTTTGAGGCCTACTGTAGTAAAGGAAATAACTTCATCTAAAAACCAAACGGAAGCATTCACAGACAATTCTTAATGATCATTGCATTGAACTAACAGAGCTGAACATTCCTTTAGATGGAGCAGTTTCCAAACACACTTTCTGTAGAATCTGCAAGTGGATATTTGGACCTCTCTGAGGATTTCGTTGGAAACGGGATATGCTTCCCAGAACTACAGGGAAGCATTCTGAGAAACTTCTTTGTGATGTTTGCATTCAACTCACAGAGTTGAACCTTGCTTTCATAGTTCAGCTTTCAAACACTCTTTTTGTAGAATCTGCAAGTGGATATTTGGACCACTTTGTGGCCTTCCTTCGAAACGGGTATATCTTCACATCAAACCTAGACAGAAGCATTCTCAGAATGTTTCCTGTGATGACTGCATTCAACTCACAGAGGTGAACAATCCTGCTGATGGAGCAGTTTTGAAACTCTCTTTCTTTGGATTCTGCAAGTGGATATGTGGACCTCTGTGAAGATTTCTTTGGAAACGGGTTCATCTTCACAGAAAAACTAAACAGAAGCATTCTCAGAAACTGCTTTGTGATGTTTGTGTTCCACTTCAGGAATTAAACTTTCCTCTTGACAGAGCAGCTCTGAAACCCTCTTATTCTAGAATCTGCAAGTGGACATTTGGAGGACTTTGAGGCCTGTGGTGGAAAAGGAAAATCTTCACATAAAAACTAGATGGAAGCATTCTCAGAAACTACTTTGTGATGATTGCATTCGACTCACAGAGTTGAACATTCCTATAGATAGAGCAGGTTGTAAACAGTGTTTTTGTAGAATCTGCGATTGGAGATTTGGACTGCTTTGAGGCCTACTGTAGTAAAGGAAATAACTTCATCTAAAAACCAAACGGAAGCATTCACAGACAATTCTTAGTGATCATTGCATTGAACTAACAGAGCTGAACATTCCTTTAGATGGCGCAGTTTCCAAACACACTTTCTGTAGAATCTGCAAGTGGATATTTGGACTTCTCTGAGGATTTCGTTGGAAACGGGATAAACTTCCCAGAACTACACGGAAGCATTCTGAGAAACTTCTTTGTGATGTTTGCATTCAACTCACAGAGTTGAACCTTGCTTTCATAGTTCAGCTTTCAAACACTCTTTTTGTAGAATCTGCAAGTGGATATTTGGACCACTTTGTGGCCTTCCTTCGAAACGGGTATATCTTCACATCAAACCTAGACAGAAGCATTCTCGGAATGTTTCCTGTGATGACTGCATTCAACTCACAGAGGTGAACAATCCTGCTGATGGAGCAGTTTTGAAACTCTCTTTCTTTGGATTCTGCAAGTGGATATGTGGACCTCTGTGAAGATTTCGTTGGAAACGGGTTCATCTTCACAGAACAACTAAACAGGAGCATTCTCAGAAACTGCTTTGTGATGTTTGTGTTCCACTTCAAGAATTGAACTTTCCTCTTGACAGAGCAGCTCTGAAACCCTCTTTTTCTAGAATCTGCAAGTGGACATTTGGAGGGCTTTGAGGCCTGTGGTGGAAAAGGAAAATCTTCACATAAAAACTAGATGGAAGCATTCTCAGAAACTACTTTGTGATGATTGCATTCGACTCACAGAGTTGAACATTCCTATACATAGAGCAGGTTGTAAACAATCTTTTTGTAGAATCTGCGATTGGAGATTTGGACTGCTTTGAGGCCTACTGTAGTAAAGGAAATAACTTCATCTAAAAACCAAACGGAAGCATTCACAGACAATTCTTAGTGATCATTGCATTGAACTAACAGAGCTGAACATTCCTTTAGATGGCGCAGTTTCCAAACACACTTTCTGTAGAATCTGCAAGTGGATATTTGGACTTCTCTGAGGATTTCGTTGGAAACGGGATAAACTTCCCAGAACTACACGGAAGCATTCTGAGAAACTTATTTGTGATGTTTGCATTCAACTCACAGAGTTGAACCTTGCTTTCATAGTTCAGCTTTCAAACACTCTTTTTGTAGAATCTGCAAGTGGATATTTGGACCACTTTGTGGCCTTCCTTCGAAACGGGTATATCTTCACATCAAACCTAGACAGAAGCATTCTGAGAATGTTTCCTGTGATGACTGCATTCAACTCACAGAGGTGAACAATCCTGCTGATGGAGCAGTTTTGAAACTCTCTTTCTTTGGATTCTGCAAGTGGATATGTGGACCTCTGTGAAGATTTCGTTGGAAACGGGTTCATCTTCACAGAAAAACTAAACAGGAGCATTCTCAGAAACTGCTTTGTGATGTTTGTGTTCCACTTCAGGAATTGAACTTTCCTCTTGACAGAGCAGCTCTGAAACCCTCTTATTCTAGAATCTGCAAGTGGACATTTGGAGGGCTTTGAGGCCTGTGGTGGAAAAGGAAAATCTTCACATAATAACTAGATGGAAGCATTCTCAGAAACTACTTTGTGATGATTGCATTCGACTCACAGAGTTGAACATTCCTATAGATAGAGCAGGTTGTAAACAATCTTTTTGTAGAATCTGCGATTGGAGATTTGGACTGCTTTGAGGCCTACTGTAGTAAAGGAAATAACTTCATCTAAAAACCAAACGGAAGCATTCACAGACAATTCTTAGTGATCATTGCATTGAACTAACAGAGCTGAACATTCCTTTAGATGGAGCAGTTTCCAAACCCACTTTCTGTAGAATCTGCAAGTGGATATTTGGACTTCTCTGAGGATTTCGTTGGAAACGGGATAAACTTCCCAGAACTACACGGAAGCATTGTGAGAAACTTCTTTGTGATGTTTGCATTCAACTCACAGAGTTGAACCTTGCTTTCATAGTTCAGCTTTCAAACACTCTTTTTGTAGAATCTGCAAGTGGATATTTGGACCACTTTGTGGCCTTCCTTCGAAACGGGTATATCTTCACATCAAACCTAGACAGAAGCATTCTCAGAATGTTTCCTGTGATGACTGCATTCAACTCACAGAGGTGAACAATCCTGCTGATGGAGCAGTTTTGAAACTCTCTTTCTTTGGATTCTGCAAGTGGATATGTGGACCTCTGTGAAGATTTCGTTGGAAACGGGTTCATCTTCACAGAAAAACTAAACAGAAGCATTCTCAGAAACTGCTTTGTGATGTTTGTGTTCCACTTAAAGAATTGAACTTTCCTCTTGACAGAGCAGCTCTGAAACCCTCTTTTTCTAGAATCTGCAAGTGGACATTTGGAGGGCTTTGAGGCCTGTGGTGGAAAAGGAAAATCTTCACATAAAAACTTTATGGAAGCATTCTCAGAAACTACTTTGTGATGATTGCATTCGACTCACAGAGTTGAACATTCCTATAGATAGAGCAGGTTGTAAACAATCTTTTTGTAGAATCTGCGATTGGAGATTTGGACTGCTTTGAGGCCTACTGTAGTAAAGGAAATAACTTCATCTAAAAACCAAACGGAAGCATTCACAGACAATTCTTAGTGATCATTGGATTGAACTAACAGAGCTGAACATTCCTTTAGATGGAGCATTTTCCAAACACACTTTCTGTAGAATCTGCAAGTGGATATTTGGACTTCTCTGAGGATTTCGTTGGAAACGGGATAAACTTCCCAGAACTACACGGAAGCATTGTGAGAAACTTCTTTGTGATGTTTGCATTCAACTCACAGAGTTGAACCTTGCTTTCATAGTTCAGCTTTCAAACACTCTTTTTGTAGAATCTGCAAGTGGATATTTGGACCACTTTGTGGCCTTCCTTTGAAAAGGGTATATCTTCACATCAAACCTAGACAGAAGCATTCTCAGAATGTTTCCTGTGATGACTGCATTCAACTCACAGAGGTGAACAATCCTGCTGTTGGAGCAGTTTTGAAACTCTCTTTCTTTGGATTCTGCAAGTGGATATGTGGACCTCTGTGAAGATTTCATTGGAAACGGGTTCATCTTCACAGAAAAACTAAACAGGAGCATTCTCAGAAACTGCTTTGTGATGTTTGTGTTCCACTTCAAGAATTGAACTTTCCTCTTGACAGAGCAGCTCTGAAACCCTCTTTTTCTAGAATCTGCAAGTGGACATTTGGAGGGCTTTGAGGCCTGTGGTGGAAAAGGAAAATCTTCACATAAAAACTAGATGGAAGCATTCTCAGAAACTACTTTGTGATGATTGCATTCGACTCACAGAGTTGAATATTCCTATAGATAGAGCAGGTTGTAAACAATCTTTTTGTAGAATCTGCGATTGGAGATTTGGACTGCTTTGAGGCCTACTGTAGTAAAGGAAATAACTTCATCTAAAAACCAAACGGAAGCATTCACAGACAATTCTTAGTGATCATTGCATTGAACTAACAGAGCTGAACATTCCTTTAGATGGCGCAGTTTCCAAACACACTTTCCGTAGAATCTGCAAGTGGATATTTGGACCTCTCTGAGGATTTCGATGGAAACGGGATAAACTTCCCAGAACTACACGGAAGCATTCTGAGAAACTTCTTTGTGATGTTTGCATTCAACTCACAGAGTTGAAACTTGCTTTCATAGTTCAGCTTTCAAACACTCTTTTTGTAGAATCTGCAAGTGGATATTTGGAACACTTTGTGGCCTTCCTTCGAAACGGGTATATCTTCACATCAAACCTAGACAGAAGCATTCTCAGAATGTTTCCTGTGATGACTGCATTCAACTCACAGAGGTGAACAATCCTGCTGATGGAGCAGTTTTGAAACTCTCTTTCTTTGGATTCTGCAAGTGGATATGTGGACCTCTGTGAAGATTTCGTTGGAAACGGGTTCATCTTCACAGAAAAACTAAACAGAAGCATTCTCAGAAACTGCTTTGTGATGTTTGTGTTCCACTTCAGGAATTGAACTTTCCTCTTGACAGAGCAGCTCTGAAACCCTCTTATTCTAGAATCTGCAAGTGGACATTTGGAGGGATTTGAGGCCTGTGGTGGAAAAGGAAAATCTTCACATAAAAACTAGATGGAAGCATTCTCAGAAACTACTTTGTGATGATTGCATTCGACTCACAGAGTTGAACATTCCTATAGATGGAGCAGGTTGTAAACAATCTTTTTGTAGAATCTGCGATTGGAGATTTGGACTGCTTTGAGGCCTACTGTAGTAAAGGAAATAACTTCATCTAAAAACCAAACGGAAAGCATTCACAGACAATTCTTAGTGATCATTGGATTGAACTAACAGAGCTGAACATTCTTTTAGATGGAGCAGTTTCCAAACCCACTTTCTGTAGAATCTGCAAGTGGATATTTGGACTTCTCTGAGGATTTCTTTGGAAACGGGATAAACTTCCCAGAACTACAGGGGAAAGCATTCTGAGAAACTTCTTTGTGATGTTTGCATTCAACTCACAGACTTGAACCTTGCTTTCATAGTTCAGCTTTCAAACACTCTTTTTGTAGAATCTGCAAGTGGATATTTGGACCACTTTGTAGCCTTCCTTCGAAACGGGTATATCTTCACATCAAACCTAGACAGAAGCATTCTCAGAATGTTTCCTGTGATGACTGCATTCAACTCACAGAGGTGAACAATCCTGCTGATGGAGCAGTTTTGAAACTCTCTTTCTTTGGATTCTGCAAGTGGATATGTGGACCTCTGTGAAGATTTCGTTGGAAACGGGTTCATCTTCACAGAAAAACTAAACAGAAGCATTCTCAGAAACTGCTTTGTGATGTTTGTGTTCCACTTCAGGAATTGAACTTTCCTCTTGACAGAGCAGCTCTGAAACCCTCTTATTCTAGAATCTGCAAGTGGACATTTGGAGGGCTTTGAGGCCTGTGGTGGAAAAGGAAAATCTTCACATAAAAACTAGATGGAAGCATTCTCAGAAACTACTTTGTGATGATTGCATTCGACTCACAGAGTTGAACATTCCTATAGATAGAGCAGGTTGTAAACAATCTTTTTGTAGAATCTGCGATTGGAGATTTGGACTGCTTTGAGGCCTACTGTAGTAAAGGAAATAACTTCATCTAAAAACCAAACGGAAGCATTCACAGACAATTCTTAGTGATCATTGCATTGAACTAACAGAGCTGAACATTCCTTTAGATGGAGCAGTTTCCAAACACACTTTCTGTAGAATCTGCAAGTGGATATTTGGACCTCTCTGAGGATTTCGTTGGAAACGGGATAAACTTCCCAGAACTACACGGAAGCATTGTGAGAAACTTCTTTGTGATGTTTGCATTCAACTCACAGAGTTGAACCTTGCTTTCATAGTTCAGCTTTCAAACACTCTTTTTGTAGAATCTGCAAGTGGATATTTGGACCACTTTGTGGCCTTCCTTCGAAACGGGTATATCTTCACATCAAACCTAGACAGAAGCATTCTCAGAATGTTTCCTGTGATGACTGCATTCAACTCACAGAGGTGAACAATCCTGCTGATGGAGCACTTTTGAAACTCTCTTTCTTTGGATTCTGCAAGTTGATATGTGGACCTCTGTGAAGATTTCGTTGGAAACGGGTTCATCTTCACAGAAAAACTAAACAGAAGCATTCTCAGAAACTGCTTTGTGATGTTTGTGTTCCACTTCAGGAATTGAACTTTCCTCTTGACAGAGCAGCTCTAAAACCCTCTTATTCTAGAATCTGCAAGTGGACATTTGGAGGGCTTTGAGGCCTGTGGTGGAAAAGGAAAATCTTCACATAAAAACTAGATGGAAGCATTCTCAGAAACTACTTTGTGATGATTGCATTCGACTCACAGAGTTGAACATTCCTATAGATAGAGCAGGTTGTAAACAATCTTTTTGTAGAATCTGCGATTGGAGATTTGGACTGCTTTGAGGCCTACTGTAGTAAAGGAAATAACTTCATCTAAAAACCAAACGGAAGCATTCACAGACAATTCTTAGTGATCATTGCATTGAACTAACAGAGCTGAACATTCCTTTAGATGGAGCAGTTTCCAAACCCACTTTCTGTAGAATCTGCAAGTGGATATTTGGACTTCTCTGAGGATTTCGTTGGAAACGGGATAAACTTCCCAGAACTACAGGGAAGCATGCTGAGAAACTTCTTTGTGATGTTTGCATTCAACTCACAGAGTTGAACCTTGCTTTCATAGTTCAGCTTTCAAACACTCTTTTTGTAGAATCTGCAAGTGGATATTTGGACCACTTTGTGGCCTTCCTTCGAAACGGGTATATCTTCACATCAAACCTAGACAGAAGCATTCTCAGAATGTTTCCTGTGATGACTGCATTCAACTCACAGAGGTGAACAATCCTGTTGATGGAGCACTTTTGAAACTCTCTTTCTTTGGATTCTGCAAGTTGATATGTGGACCTCTGTGAAGATTTCGTTGGAAACGGGTTCATCTTCACAGAAAAACTAAACAGAAACATTCTCAGAAACTGCTTTGTGATGTTTGTGTTCCACTTCAAGAATTGAACTTTCCTCTTGACAGAGCAGCTCTGAAACCCTCTTTTTCTAGAATCTGCAAGTGGACATTTGGAGGGCTTTGAGGCCTGTGGTGGAAAAGGAAAATCTTCACATAAAAACTAGATGGAAGCATTCTCAGAAACTACTTTGTGATGATTGCATTCGACTCACAGAGTTGAACATTCCTATACATAGAGCAGGTTGTAAACAATCTTTTTGTAGAATCTGCGATTGGAGATTTGGACTGCTTTGAGGCCTACTGTAGTAAAGGAAATAACTTCATCTAAAAACCAAACGGAAGCATTCACAGACAATTCTTAGTGATCATTGGATTGAACTAACAGAGCTGAACATTCCTTTAGATGGAGCAGTTTCCAAACCCACTTTCTGTAGAATCTGCAAGTGGATATTTGGACTTCTCTGAGGATTTCGTTGGAAACGGGATAAACTTCCCAGAACTACACGGAAGCATTGTGAGAAACTTCTTTGTGATGTTTGCATTCAACTCACAGAGTTGAACCTTGCTTTCATAGTTCAGCTTTCAAACACTCTTTTTGTAGAATCTGCAAGTGGATATTTGGACCACTTTGTGGCCTTCCTTCGAAACGGGTATATCTTCACATCAAACCTAGACAGAAGCATTCTCAGAATGTTTCCTGTGATGACTGCATTCAACTCACAGAGGTGAACAATCCTGCTGATGGAGCAGTTTTGAAACTCTCTTTCTTTGGATTCTGCAAGTGGATATGTCGACCTCTGTGAAGATTTCGTTGGAAACGGGTTCATCTTCACAGAAAAACTAAACAGAAGCATTCTCAGAAACTGCTTTGTGATGTTTGTGTTCCACTTCAAGAATTGAACTTTCCTCTTGACAGAGCAGCTCTGAAACCCTCTTTTTCTAGAATCTGCAAGTGGACATTTGGAGGGCTTTGAGGCCTGTGGTGGAAAAGGAAAATCTTCACATAAAAACTAGATGGAAGCATTCTCAGAAACTACTTTGTGATGATTGCATTCGACTCACAGAGTTGAACATTCCTATAGATAGAGCAGGTTGTAAACAATCTTTTTGTAGAATCTGCGATTGGAGATTTGGACTGCTTTGAGGCCTACTGTAGTAAAGGAAATAACTTCATCTAAAAACCAAACGGAAGCATTCACAGACAATTCTTAGTGATCATTGGATTGAACTAACAGAGCTGAACATTCCTTTAGATGGAGCAGTTTCCAAACACACTTTCTGTAGAATCTGCAAGTGGATATTTGGACTTCTCTGAGGATTTCGTTGGAAACGGGATAAACTTCCCAGAACTACACGGAAGCATTCTGAGAAACTTCTTTGTGATGTTTGCATTCAACTCACAGAGTTGAACCTTGCTTTCATAGTTCAGCTTTCAAACACTCTTTTTGTAGAATCTGCAAGTGGATATTTGGACCACTTTGTGGCCTTCCTTCGAAACGGGTATATCTTCACATCAAACCTAGACAGAAACATTCTCAGAATGTTTCCTGTGATGACTGCATTCAACTCACAGAGGTGAACAATCCTGTTGATGGAGCAGTTTTGAAACTCTCTTTCTTTGGATTCTGCAAGTTGATATGTGGACCTCTGTGAAGATTTCGTTGGAAACGGGTTCATCTTCACAGAAAAACTTAACAGGAGCATTCTCAGAAACTGCTTTGTGAAGTTTGTGTTCCACTTCAAGAATTGAACTTTCCTCTTGACAGAGCAGCTCTGAAACCCTCTTTTTCTAGAATTTGCAAGTGGACATTTGGAGTGCTTTGAGGCCTGTGGTGCAAAAGGAAAATCTTCACATAAAAACTAGATGGAAGCATTCTCAGAAACTACTTTGTGATGATTGCATTCGACTCACAGAGTTGAACATTCCTATAGATAGAGCAGGTTGTAAACAATCTTTTTGTAGAATCTGCGATTGGAGATTTGGACTGCTTTGAGGCCTACTGTAGTAAAGGAAATAACTTCATCTAAAAACCAAACGGAAGCATTCACAGACAATTCTTAGTGATCATTGGATTGAACTAACAGAGCTGAACATTCCTTTAGATGGAGCATTTTCCAAACACACTTTCTGTAGAATCTGCAAGTGGATATTTGGACTTCTCTGAGGATTTCGTTGGAAACGGGATAAACTTCCCAGAACTACACGGAAGCATTGTGAGAAACTTCTTTGTGATGTTTGCATTCAACTCACAGAGTTGAACCTTGCTTTCATAGTTCAGCTTTCAAACACTCTTTTTGTAGAATCTGCAAGTGGATATTTGGACCACTTTGTGGCCTTCCTTCGAAACGGGTATATCTTCACATCAAACCTAGACAGAAGCATTCTCAGAATGTTTCCTGTGATGACTGCATTCAACTCACAGAGGTGAACAATCCTGTTGATGGAGCAGTTTTGAAACTCTCTTTCTTTGGATTCTGCAAGTTGATATGTGGACCTCTGTGAAGATTTCGTTGGAAACGGGTTCATCTTCACAGAAAAACTAAACAGAAGCATTCTCAGAAACTGCTTTGTGATGTTTGTGTTCCACTTCAAGAATTGAACTTTCCTCTTGACAGAGCAGCTCTGAAACCCTCTTTTTCTAGAATCTGCAAGTGGACATTTGGAGGGCTTTGAGGCCTGTGGTGGAAAAGGAAAATCTTCACATAAAAACTAGATGGAAGCATTCTCAGAAACTACTTTGTGATGATTGCATTCGACTCACAGAGTTGAACATTCCTATAGATAGAGCAGGTTGTAAACAATGTTTTTGTAGAATCTGCGATTGGAGATTTGGACTGCTTTGAGGCCTACTGTAGTAAAGGAAATAACTTCATCTAAAAACCAAACGGAAGCATTCACAGACAATTCTTAGTGATCATTGCATTGAACTAACAGAGCTGAACATTCCTTTAGATGGAGCAGTTTCCAAACACACTTTCTGTAGAATCTGCAAGTGGATATTTGGACTTCTCTGAGGATTTCGTTGGAAACGGGATAAACTTCCCAGAACTACACGGAAGCATTGTGAGAAACTTCTTTGTGATGTTTGCATTCAACTCACAGAGTTGAACCTTGCTTTCATAGTTCAGCTTTCAAACACTCTTTTTGTAGAATCTGCAAGTGGATATTTGGACCACTTTGTGGCCTTCCTTCGAAACGGGTATATCTTCACATCAAACCTAGACAGAAGCATTCTCAGAATGTTTCCTGTGATGACTGCATTCAACTCACAGAGGTGAACAATCCTGTTGATGGAGCAGTTTTGAAACTCTCTTTCTTTGGATTCTGCAAGTGGATATGTGGACCTCTGTGAAGATTTCGTTGGAAACGGGTTCATCTTCACAGAAAAACTAAACAGAAGCATTCTCAGAAACTGCTTTGTGATGTTTGTGTTCCACTTCAAGAATTGAACTTTCCTCTTGACAGAGCAGCTCTGAAACCCTCTTTTTCTAGAATCTGCAAGTGGACATTTGGAGGGCTTTGAGGCCTGTGGTGGAAAAGGAAAATCTTCCCATAAAAACTAGATGGAAGCATTCTCAGAAACTACTTTGTGATGATTGCATTCGACTCACAGAGTTGAACATTCCTATAGATAGAGCAGGTTGTAAACAATCTTTTTGTAGAATCTGCGATTGGAGATTTGGACTGCTTTGAGGCCTACTGTAGTAAAGGAAATAACTTCATCTAAAAACCAAACGGAAGCATTCACAGACAATTCTTAGTGATCATTGCATTGAACTAACAGAGCTGAACATTCCTTTAGATGGCGCAGTTTCCAAACACACTTTCTGTAGAATCTGCAAGTGGATATTTGGACCTCTCTGAGGATTTCGTTGGAAACGGGATAAACTTCCCAGAACTACACGGAAGCATTGTGAGAAACTTCTTTGTGATGTTTGCATTCAACTCACAGAGTTGAACCTTGCTTTCATAGTTCAGCTTTCAAACACTCTTTTTGTAAAATCTGCAAGTGGATATTTGGACCACTTTGTGGCCTTCCTTCGAAACGGGTATATCTTCACATCAAACCTAGACAGAAGCATTCTCAGAATGTTTCCTGTGATGGCTGCATTCAACTCACAGAGGTGAACAATCCTGCTGATGGAGCAGTTTTGAAACTCTCTTTCTTTGGATTCTGCAAGTGGATATGTGGACCTCTGTGAAGATTTCGTTGGAAACGGGTTCATCTTCACAGAAAAACTAAACAGAAGCATTCTCAGAAACTGCTTTGTGATGTTTGTGTTCCACTTCAGGAATTGAACTTTCCTCTTGACAGAGCAGCTCTGAAACCCTCTTATTCTAGAATCTGCAAGTGGACATTTGGAGGGCTTTAAGGCCTGTGGTGGAAAAGGAAAATCTTCACATAAAAACTAGATGGAAGCATTCTCAGAAACTCCTTTGTGATGATTGCATTCGACTCACAGAGTTGAACATTCCTATAGATAGAGCAGGTTGTAAACAATCTTTTTGTAGAATCTGCGATTGGAGATTTGGACTGCTTTGAGGCCTACTGTAGTAAAGGAAATAACTTCATCTAAAAACCCAACGGAAGCATTCACAGACAATTCTTAGTGATCATTGCATTGAACTAACAGAGCTGAACATTCCTTTAGATGGAGCAGTTTCCAAACCCACTTTCTGTAGAATCTGCAAGTGGATATTTGGACTTCTCTGAGGATTTCGTTGGAAACGGGATAAACTTCCCAGAACTACAGGGAAGCATTCTGAGAAACTTCTTTGTGATGTTTGCATTCAACTCACAGAGTTGAACCTTGCTTTCATAGTTCAGCTTTCAAACACTCTTTTTGTAGAATCTGCAAGTGGATATTTGGACCACTTTGTGGCCTTCCTTCGAAACGGGTATATCTTCACATCAAACCTAGACAGAAGCATTCTCAGAATGTTTCCTGTGATGACTGCATTCAACTCACAGAGGTGAACAATCCTGCTGATGGAGCAGTTTTGAAACTCTCTTTCTTTGGATTCTGCAAGTGGATATGTGGACCTCTGTGAAGATTTCGTTGGAAACGGGTTCATCTTCACAGAAAAACTAAACAGGAGCATTCTCAGAAACTGCTTTGTGATGTTTGTGTTCCACTTCAGGAATTGAACTTTCCTCTTGAAAGAGCAGCTCTGAAACCCTCTTTTTCTAGAATCTGCAAGTGGACATTTGGAGGGCTTTGAGGCCTGTGGTGGAAAAGGAAAATCTTCACATAAAAACTAGATGGAAGCATTCTCAGAAACTACTTTGTGATGATTGCATTCGACTCACAGAGTTGAACATTCCTATAGATAGAGCAGGTTGTAAACAATCTTTTTGTAGAATCTGCGATTGGAGATTTGGACTGCTTTGAGGCCTACTGTAGTAAAGGAAATAACTTCATCTAAAAACCAAACGGAAGCATTCACAGACAATTCTTAGTGATCATTGGATTGAACTAACAGAGCTGAACATTCCTTTAGATGGAGCAGTTTCCAAACCAACTTTCTGTAGAATCTGCAAGTGGATATTTGGACCTCTCTGAGGATTTCGTTGGAAACGGGATAAACTTCCCAGAACTACACGGAAGCATTCTGAGAAATTTCTTTGTGATGTTTGCATTCAACTCACAGAGTTGAACCTTGCTTTCATAGTTCAGCTTTCAAACACTCTTTTTGTAGAATCTGCAAGTGGATATTTGGACCACTTTGAGGCCTTCCTTCGAAACGGGTATATCTTCACATCAAACCTAGACAGAAGCATTCTCAGAATGTTTCCTGTGATGACTGCATTCAACTCACAGAGGTGAACAATCCTGCTGATGGAGCAGTTTTGAAACTCTCTTTCTTTGGATTCTGCAAGTGGATATGTGGACCTCTGTGAAGATTTCGTTGGAAACGGGTTCATCTTCACAGAAAAACTAAACAGAAGCATTCTCGGAAACTGCTTTGTGATGTTTGTGTTCCACTTCAGGAATTGAACTTTCCTCTTGACAGAGCAGCTCTGAAACCCTCTTATTCTAGAATCTGCAAGTGGACATTTGGAGGGCTTTGAGGCCTGTGGTGGAAAAGGAAAATCTTCACATAAAAACTAGATGGAAGCATTCTCAGAAACTACTTTGTGATGATTGCATTCGACTCACAGAGTTGAACATTCCTATAGATAGAGCAGGTTGTAAACAATGTTTTTGTAGAATCTGCGATTGGAGATTTGGACTGCTTTGAGGCCTACTGTAGTAAAGGAAATAACTTCATCTAAAAACCAAACGGAAGCATTCACAGACAATTCTTAGTGATCATTGCATTGAACTAACAGAGCTGAACATTCCTTTAGATGGAGCAGTTTCCAAACACACTTTCTGTAGAATGTGCAAGTGGATATTTGGACTTCTCTGAGGATTTCGTTGGAAACGGGATAAACTTCCCAGAACTACACGGAAGCATTCTGAGAAACTTCTTTGTGATGTTTGCATTCAACTCACAGAGTTGAACCTTGCTTTCATAGTTCAGCTTTCAAACACTCTTTTTGTAGAATCTGCAAGTGGATATTTGGACCACTTTGTGGCCTTCCTTCGAAACGGGTATATCTTCACATCAAACCTAGACAGAAGCATTCTCAGAATGTTTCCTGTGATGACTGCATTCAACTCACAGAGGTGAACAATCCTGTTGATGGAGCAGTTTTGAAACTCTCTTTCTTTGGATTCTGCAAGTGGATATGTGGACCTCTGTGAAGATTTCGTTGGAAACGGGTTCATCTTCACAGAAAAAATAAACAGGAGCATTCTCAGAAACTGCTTTGTGATGTCTGTGTTCCACTTCAAGAATTGAACTTTCCTCTTGACAGAGCAGCTCTGAAACCCTCTTTTTCTAGAGTCTGCAAGTGGACATTTTGAGGGCTTTGAGGCCTGTGGTGGAAAAGGAAAATCTTCACATAAAAACTAGATGGAAGCATTCTCAGAAACTACTTTGGGATGATTGCATTCGACTCACAGAGTTGAACATTCCTATAGATAGAGCAGGTTGTAAACAATCTTTCTGTAGAATCTGCGATTGGAGATTTGGACTGCTTTGAGGCCTACTGTAGTAAAGGAAATAACTTCATCTAAAAACCAAACGGAAGCATTCACAGACAATTCTTAGTGATCATTGGATTGAACTAACAGAGCTGAACATTCCTTTAGATGGAGCAGTTTCCAAACACACTTTCTGTAGAATCTGCAAGTGGATATTTGGACTTCTCTGAGGATTTCGTTGGAAACGGGATAAACTTCCCAGAACTACACGGAAGCATTGTGAGAAACTTCTTTGTGATGTTTGCATTCAACTCACAGAGTTGAACCTTGCTTTCATAGTTCAGCTTTCAAACACTCTTTTTGTAGAATCTGCAAGTGGATATTTGGACCACTTTGTGGCCTTCCTTCGAAACGGGTATATCTTCACATCAAACCTAGACAGAAGCATTCTCAGAATGTTTCCTGTGATGACTGCATTCAACTCACAGAGGTGAACAATCCTGCTGATGGAGCAGTTTTGAAACTCTCTTTCTTTGGATTCTGCAAGTGGATATGTGTACCTCTGTGAAGATTTCGTTGGAAACGGGTTCATCTTCACAAAAAAACTAAACAGGAGCATTCTCAGAAACTGCTTTGTGATG
Organism: Homo sapiens; assembly: GCF_000001405.40. Lineage (NCBI taxonomy): Eukaryota > Metazoa > Chordata > Mammalia > Primates > Hominidae > Homo > Homo sapiens. The sequence continues at coordinate 52,176,350 of NC_000011.10, forward strand.
TTTGTGTTCCACTTCAAGAATTGAACTTTCCTCTTGACAGAGCAGCTCTGAAACCCTCTTATTCTAGAATCTGCAAGTGGACATTTGGAGGGCTTTGAGGCCTGTGGTGGGAAAGGAAAATCTTCACATAAAAACTTTATGGAAGCATTCTCAGAAACTTCTTTGTGATGATTGCATTCGACTCACAGAGTTGAACATTCCTATAGATAGAGCAGGTTGTAAACAATCTTTTTGTAGAATCTGCGATTGGAGATTTGGACTGCTTTGAGGCCTACTGTAGTAAAGGAAATTACTTCATCTAAAAACCAAACGGAAGCATTCACAGACAATTCTTAGTGATCATTGGATTGAACTAACAGAGCTGAACATTCCTTTAGATGGAGCAGTTTCCAAACCCACTTTCTGTAGAATCTGCAAGTGGATATTTGGACTTCTCTGAGGATTTCGTTGGAAACGGGATAAACTTCCCAGAACTACACGGAAGCATTGTGAGAAACTTCTTTGTGATGTTTGCATTCAACTCACAGAGTTGAACCTTGCTTTCATAGTTCAGCTTTCAAACACTCTTTTTGTAGAATCTGCAAGTGGATATTTGGACCACTTTGTGGCCTTCCTTCGAAACGGGTATATCTTCACATCAAACCTAGACAGAAGCATTCTCAGGATGTTTCCTGTGATGACTGCATTCAACTCACAGAGGTGAACAATCCTGCTGATGGAGCAGTTTTGAAACTCTCTTTCTTTGGATTCTGCAAGTGGATATGTGGACCTCTGTGAAGATTTCGTTGGAAACGGGTTCATCTTCACAGAAAAACTAAACAGGAGCATTCTCAGAAACTGCTTTGTGATGTTTGTGTTCCACTTCAAGAATTGAACTTTCCTCTTGACAGAGCAGCTCTGAAACCCTCTTTTTCTAGAATCTCCAAGTGGACATTTGGAGGGCTTTGAGGCCTGTGGTGGAAAAGGAAAATCTTCACATAAAAAATTGATGGAAGCATTCTCAGAAACTACTTTGTGATGATTGCATTCGACTCACAGAGTTGAACATTCCTATAGATAGAGCAGGTTGTAAACAATCTTTTTGTAGAATCTGCGATTGGAGATTTGGACTGCTTTGAGGCCTACTGTAGTAAAGGAAATAACTTCATCTGAAAACCAAACGGAAGCATTCACAGACAATTCTTAGTGATCATTGCATTGAACTAACAGAGCTGAACATTGCTTTAGACGGCGCAGTTTCCAAACACACTTTCTGTAGAATCTGCAAGTGGATATTTGGACTTCTCTGAGGATTTCGTTGGAAACGGGATAAACTTCCCAGAACTACACGGAAGCATGCTGAGAAACTTCTTTGTGATGTTTGCATTCAACTCACAGAGTTGAACCTTGCTTTCATAGTTCAGCTTTCAAACACTCTTTTTGTAGAATCTGCAAGTGGATATTTGGACCACTTTGTGGCCTTCCTTCGAAACGGGTATATCTTCACATCAAACCTAGACAGAAGCATTCTCAGAATGTTTCCTGTGATGACTGCATTCAACTCACAGAGGTGAACAATCCTGCTGATGGAGCAGTTTTGAAACTCTCTTTCTTTGGATTCTGCAAGTGGATATGTGGACCTCTGTGAAGATTTCGTTGGAAACGGGTTCATCTTCACAGAAAAACTAAACAGAAGCATTCTCAGAAACTGCTTTGTGATGTTTGTGTTCCACCTCAGGAATTGAACTTTCCTCTTGACAGAGCAGCTCTGAAACCCTCTTATTCTAGAATCTGCAAGTGGACATTTGGAGGGCTTTGAGGCCTGTGGTGGAAAAGGAAAATCTTCACATAAAAACTAGATGGAAGCATTCTCAGAAACTACTTTGTGATGATTGCATTCGACTCACAGAGTTGAACATTCCTATAGATAGAGCAGGTTGTAAACAATCTTTTTGTAGAATCTGCGATTGGAGATTTGGACTGCTTTGAGGCCTACTGTAGTAAAGGAAATAACTTCATCTAAAACCAAACGGAAGCATTCACAGACAATTCTTAGTGATCATTGGATTGAACTAACAGAGCTGAACATTCCTTTAGATGGAGCAGTTTCCAAACACACTTTCTGTAGAATCTGCAAGTGGATATTTGGACCTCTCTGAGGATTTCGTTGGAAACGGGATAAACTTCCCAGAACTACACGGAAGCATTCTGAGAAACTTCTTTGTGATGTTTGCATTCAACTCACAGAGTTGAACCTTGCTTTCATAGTTCAGCTTTCAAACACTCTTTTTGTAGAATCTGCAAGTGGATATTTGGACCACTTTGTGGCCTTCCTTCGAAACGGGTATATCTTCACATCAAACCTAGACAGAAGCATTCTCAGAATGTTTCCTGTGATGACTGCATTCAACTCACAGAGGTGAACAATCCTGCTGATGGAGCAGTTTTGAAACTCTCTTTCTTTGGATTCTGCAAGTGGATATGTGGACCTCTGTGAAGATTTCGTTGGAAACGGGTTCATCTTCACAGAAAAACTAAACAGAAGCATTCTCAGAAACTGCTTTGTGATGTTTGTGTTCCACTTCAGGAATTGAACTTTCCTCTTGAAAGAGCAGCTCTGAAACCCTCTTTTTCTAGAATCTGCAAGTGGACATTTGGAGGGCTTTGAGGCCTGTGGTGGAAAAGGAAAATCTTCACATAAAAACTAGATGGAAGCATTCTCAGAAACTACTTTGTGATGATTGCATTCGACTCACAGAGTTGAACATTCCTATAGATAGAGCAGGTTGTAAACAATCTTTTTGTAGAATCTGCGATTGGAGATTTGGACTGCTTTGAGGCCTACTGTAGTAAAGGAAATAACTTCATCTAAAAACCAAACGGAAGCATTCACAGACAATTCTTAGTGATCATTGGATTGAACTAACAGAGCTGAACATTCCTTTAGATGGAGTAGTTTCCAAACACACTTTCTCTAGAATCTGCAAGTGGATATTTGGACTTCTCTGAGGATTTCGTTGGAAACGGGATAAACTTCCCAGAAGTACACGGAAGCATTCTGAGAAACTTCTTTGTGATGTTTGCATTCAACTCACAGAGTTGAACCTTGCTTTCATAGTTCAGCTTTCAAACACTCTTTTTGTAGAATCTGCAAGTGGATATTTGGACCACTTTCTGGCCTTCCTTCGAAACGGGTATATCTTCACATCAAACCTAGACAGAAGCATTCTCAGAATGTTTCCTGTGATGACTGCATTCAACTCACAGAGGTGAACAATCCTGTTGATGGAGCCGTTTTGAAACTCCCTTTCTTTTGATTCTGCAAGTGGATATGTGGACCTCTGTGAAGATTTCGTTGGAAACGGGTTCATCTTCACAGAAAAATTAACAGGAGCATTCTCAGAAACTGCTTTGTGATGTTTGTGTTCCACTTGAAGAATTGAACTTTCCTTTTGACAGAGCAGCTCTGAAATCCTCTTTTTCTAGAATCTGCAAGTGGACATTTGGAGGGCTTTGAGGCCTGTGGTGGAAAAGGAAAATCTTCCCATAAAAACTAGATGGAAGCATTCTCAGAAACTACTTTGTGATGATTGCATTCGACTCACAGAGTTGAACATTCCTATAGATAGAGCAGGTTGTAAACAATCTTTTTGTAGAATCTGCGATTGGAGATTTGGACTGCTTTGAGGCCTACTGTAGTAAAGGAAATAACTTCATCTAAAAACCAAACGGAAGCATTCACAGACAATTCTTAGTGATCATTGGATTGAACTAACAGAGCTGAACATTCCTTTAGATGGAGCAGTTTCCAAACACACTTTCTGTAGAATCTGCAAGTGGATATTTGGACCTCTCTGAGGATTTCGTTGGAAACGGGATAAACTTCCTAGAACTACACGGAAGCATTCTGAGAAACTTCTTTGTGATGTTTGCATTCAACTCACAGAGTTGAACCTTGCTTTCATAGTTCAGCTTTCAAAGACTCTTTTTGTAGAATCTGCAAGTGGATATTTGGACCACTTTGTGGCCTTCCTTCGAAACGGGTATATCTTCACATCAAACCTAGACAGAAGCATTCTCAGAATGTTTCCTGTGATGACTGCATTCAACTCACAGAGGTGAACAATCCTGCTGATGGAGCAGTTTTGAAACTCCCTTTCTTTGGATTCTGCAAGTGGATATGTGGACCTCTGTGAAGATTTCCTTGGAAACGGGTTCATCTTCACAGAAAAACTAAACAGGAGCATTCTCAGAAACTGCTTTGTGATGTTTGTGTTCCACTTCAAGAATTGAACTTTCCTCTTGACAGAGCAGCTCTGAAACCCTCTTTTTCTAGAATCTGCAAGTGGACATTTGGAGGGCTTTGAGGCCTGTGGTGGAAAAGGAAAATCTTCACATAAAAACTAGATGGAAGCATTCTCAGAAACTACTTTGTGATGATTGCATTCGACTCACAGAGTTGAACATTCCTATAGATAGAGCAGGTTGTAAACAATCTTTTTGTAGAATCTGCGATTGGAGATTTGGACTGCTTTGAGGCCTACTGTAGTAAAGGAAATAACTTCATCTAAAAACCAAACGGAAGCATTCACAGACAATTCTTAGTGATCATTGCATTGATCTAACAGAGCTGAACATTCCTTTAGATGGCGTAGTTTCCAAACACACTTTCTGTAAAATCTGCAAGTGGATATTTGGACCTCTCTGAGGATTTCGTTGGAAACGGGATAAACTTCCCAGAACTACACGGAAGCATTGTGAGAAACTTCTTTGTGATGTTTGCATTCAACTCACAGAGTTGAACCTTGCTTTCATAGTTCAGCTTTCAAACACTCTTTTTGTAGAATCTGCAAGTGGATATTTGGACCACTTTGTGGCCTTCCTTCGAAACGGGTATATCTTCACATCAAACCTAGACAGAAGCATTCTCAGAATGTTTCCTGTGATGACTGCATTCAACTCACAGAGGTGAACAATCCTGCTGATGGAGCAGTTTTGAAACTCTCTTTCTTTAGATTCTGCAAGTGGATATGTTGAACTCTGTGAAGATTTCGTTGGAAACGGGTTCATCTTCACAGAAAAACTAAACAGGAGCATTCTCAGAAACTGCTTTGTGATGTTTGTGTTCCACTTCAGGAATTGAACTTTCCTCTTGACAGAGCAGCTCTGAAACCCTCTTAATCTAGAATCTGCAAGTGGACATTTGGAGGGCTTTGAGGCCTGTGGTGGAAAAGGAAAATCTTCACATAAAAACTAGATGGAAGCATTCTCAGAAACTACTTTGTGATGATTGCATTCGACTCACAGAGTTGAACATTCCTATAGATAGAGAAGGTTGTAAACAATCTTTTTGTAGAATCTGCGATTGGAGATTTGGACTGCTTTGAGGCCTACTGTAGTAAAGCAAATAACTTCACCTAAAAACCAAACGGAAGCATTCACAGACAATTCTTAGTGATCATTGCATTGAACTAACAGAGCTGAACATTCCTTTAGATGGCGCAGTTTCCAAACACACTTTCTGTAGAATCTGCAAGTGGATATTTGGACCTCTCTGAGGATTTCGTTGGAAAAGGGATAAACTTCCCAGAACTACACGGAAGCATTGTGAGAAACTTCTTTGTGATGTTTGCATTCAACTCACAGAGTTGAACCTTGCTTTCATAGTTCAGCTTTCAAACACTCCTTTTGTAGAATCTGCAAGTGGATATTTGGACCACTTTGTGGCCTTCCTTGGAAACGGGTATATCTTCACATCAAACCTAGACAGAAGCATTCTCAGAATGTTTCCTGTGATGACTGCATTCAACTCACAGAGGTGAACAATCCTGCTGATGGAGCAGTTTTGAAACTCTCTTTCTTTGGATTCTGCAAGTGGATATGTGGACCTCTGTGAAGATTTCGTTGGAAACGGGTTCATCTTCACAGAAAAACTAAACAGAAGCATTCTCAGAAACTGCTTTGTGATGTTTGTGTTCCACTTCAAGAATTGAACTTTCCTCTTGACAGAGCAGCTCTGAAACCCTCTTTTTCTAGAATCTGCAAGTGGACATTTGGAGGGCTTTGAGGCCTGTGGTGGAAAAGGAAAATCTTCACATAAAAACTAGATGGAAGCATTCTCAGAAACTACTTTGTGATGATTGCATTCGACTCACAGAGTTGAACATTCCTATAGATAGAGCAGGTTGTAAACAATCTTTTTGTAGAATCTGCGATTGGAGATTTGGACTGCTTTGAGGCCTACTGTAGTAAAGGAAATAACTTCATCTAAAAACCAAACGGAAGCATTCACAGACAATTCTTAGTGATCATTGGATTGAACTAACAGAGCTGAACATTCCTTTAGATGGAGCAGTTTCCAAACACACTTTCTGTAGAATCTGCAAGTGGATATTTGGACCTCTCTGAGGATTTCGTTGGAAACGGGATAAACTTCCCAGAACTACACGGAAGCATTCTGAGAAACTTCTTTGTGTTGTTTGCATTCAACTCACAGAGTTGAACCTTGCTTTCATAGTTCAGCTTTCAAACACTCTTTTTGTAGAATCTGCAAGTGGATATTTGGACCACTTTGGGGCCTTCCTTCGAAACGGGTATATCTTCACATCAAACCTAGACAGAAGAATTCTCAGAATGTTTCCTGTGATGACTGCATTCAACTCACAGAGGTGAACAATCCTGCTGATGGAGCAGTTTTGAAACTCTCTTTCTTTGGATTCTGCAAGTGGATATGTGGACCTCTGTGAAGATTTCGTTGGAAACGTGTTCATCTTCACAGAAAAACTAAACAGGAGCATTCTCAGAAAACTGCTTTGTGATGTTTGTGTTCCACTTCAAGAATTGAACTTTCCTCTTGACAGAGCAGCTCTGAAACCCTCTTTTTCTGGAATCTGCAAGTGGACATTTGGAGGGCTTTGAGGCCTGTGGTGGAAAAGGAAAATCTTCCCATAAAAACTAGATGGAAGCATTCTCAGAAACTACTTTGTGATGATTGCATTCGACTCACAGAGTTGAACATTCCTATAGATAGAGCAGGTTGTAAACAATCTTTTTGTAGAATCTGCGATTGGAGATTTGGACTGCTTTGAGGCCTACTGTAGTAAAGGAAATAACTTCATCTAAAAACCAAACGGAAGCATTCACAGACAATTCTTAGTGATCATTGCATTGAACTAACAGAGCTGAACATTCCTTTAGATGGCGCAGTTTCCAAACACACTTTCTGTAGAATCTGCAAGTGGATATTTGGACCTCTCTGAGGATTTCGTTGGAAACGGGATAAACTTCCCAGAACTACACGGAAGCATTGTGAGAAACTTCTTTGTGATGTTTGCATTCAACTCACAGAGTAGAAACTTGCTTTCATAGTTCAGCTTTCAAACACTCTTTTTGTAGAATCTGCAAGTGGATATTTGGACCACTTTGTGGCCTTCCTTCGAAACGGGTATATCTTCACATCAAACCTAGACAGAAGCATTCTCAGAATGTTTCCTGTGATGACTGCATTCGACTCACAGAGGTGAACAATCCTGCTGATGGAGCAGTTTTGAAACTCTCTTTCTTTGGATTCTGCAAGTGGATATGTGGACCTCTGTGAAGATTTCGTTGGAAACGGGTTCGTCTTCACAGAAAAACTAAACAGAAACATTCTCAGAAACTGCTTTGTGATGTTTGTGTTCCACTTCAGGAATTGAACTTTCCTCTTGACAGAGCAGCTCTGAAATCCTCTTATTCTAGAATCTGCAAGTGGACATTTGGAGGGCTTTGAGGCCTGTGGTGGAAAAGGAAAATCTTCACATAAAAACTAGATGGAAGCATTCTCAGAAACTCCTTTGTGATGATTGCATTCGACTCACAGAGTTGAACATTCCTATAGATAGAGCAGGTTGTAAACAATCTTTTTGTAGAATCTGCGATTGGAGATTTGGACTGCTTTGAGGCCTACTGTAGTAAAGGAAATAACTTCATCTAAAAACCAAACGGAAGCATTCACAGACAATTCTTAGTGATCATTGGATTGAACTAACAGAGCTGAACATTCCTTTAGATGGAGCAGTTTCCAAACCCACTTTCTGTAGAATCTGCAAGTGGATATTTGGACTTCTCTGAGGATTTCGTTGGAAACGGGATAAACTTCCCAGAACTACACGGAAGCATTCTGAGAAACTTCTTTGTGATGTTTGCATTCAACTCACAGAGTTGAACCTTGCTTTCATAGTTCAGCTTTCAAACACTCTTTTTGTAGAATCTGCAAGTGGATATTTGGACCAGTTTGTGGCCTTCCTTCGAAACGGGTATATCTTCACATCAAACCTTGACAGAAGCATTCTCAGAATGTTTCCTGTGATGACTGCATTCAACTCACAGAGGTGAACAATCCTGCTGATGGAGCAGTTTTGAAACTCTCTTTCTTTGGATTCTGCAAGTGGATATGTGGACCTCTGTGAAGATTTCGTTGGAAACGGGTTCATCTTCACAGAAAAACTAAACAGGAGCATTCTCAGAAACTGCTTTGTGATGTTTGTGTTCCACTTCAAGAATTGAACTTTGCTCTTGACAGAGCAGCTCTGAAACCCTCTTTTTCTAGAATCTGTAAGTGGACATTTGGAGGGCTTTGAGGACTGTGGTGGAAAAGGAAAATCTTCACATAAAAACTAGATGGAAGCATTCTCAGAAACTACTTTGTGATGATTGCATTCGACTCACAGAGTAGAACATTCCTATAGATAGAGCAGGTTGTAAACAATCTTTTTGTAGAATCTGCGATTGGAGATTTGGACTGCATTGAGGCCTACTGTAGTAACGGAAATAACTTCATCTAAAAACCAAACGGAAGCATTCACAGACAATTCTTAGTGATCATTGGATTGAACTAACAGAGCTGAACATTCCTTTAGATGGCGCAGTTTCCAGACACACTTTCTGTAGAATCTGCAACTGGATATTTGGACCTCTCTGAGGATATCGTTTGAAACAGGATAAAATTCCCAGAACTACACGGAAGCATTCTGAGAAACTTCTTTGTGATGTTTGCATTCAACTCACAGAGTTGAACCTTGCTTTCATAGTTCAGCTTTCAAACACTCTTTTTGTAGAATCTGCAAGTGGATATTTGGACCACTTTGTGGCCTTCCTTCGAAACGGGTATATGTTCACATCAAACCTAGACAGAAGCATTCTCAGAATGTTTCCTGTGATGACTGCATTCAACTCACAGAGGTGAACAATCCTGCTGATGGAGCAGTTTTGAAACTCTCTTTCTTTGGATTCTGCAAGTGGATATGTGGACCTCTGTGAAGATTTCGTTGGAAACGGGTTCATCTTCACAGAAAAATTAACAGGAGCATTCTCAGAAACTGCTTTGTGATGTTTGTGTTCCACTTCAAGAATTGAACTTTCCTCTTGACAGAGCAGCTCTGAAACCCTCTTTTGCTAGAATCTGCAAGTGGACATTTGGAGGGCTTTGAGGCCTGTGGTGGAAAAGGAAAATCTTCACATAAAAACTAGATGGAAGCATTCTCAGAAACTACTTTGTGATGATTGCATTCGACTCACAGAGTTGAACATTCCTATAGATAGAGCAGGTTGTAAACAATCTTTTTGTAGAATCTGCGATTGGAGATTTGGACTGCTTTGAGGCCTACTGTAGTAAAGGAAATAACTTCATCTAAAAACCAAACGGAAGCATTCACAGACAATTCTTAGTGATCATTGGATTGAACTAACAGAGCTGAACATTCCTTTAGATGGAGCATTTTCCAAACACACTTTCTGTAGAATCTGCAAGTGGATATTTGGACTTCTCTGAGGATTTCGTTGGAAATGGGATAAACTTCCCAGAACTACACGGAAGCATTGTGAGAAACTTCTTTGTGATGTTTGCATTCAACTCACAGAGTTGAACCTTGCTTTCATAGTTCAGCTTTCAAACACTCTTTTTGTAGAATCTGCAAGTGGATATTTGGACCACTTTGTGGCCTTCCTTTGAAAAGGGTATATCTTCACATCAAACCTAGACAGAAGCATTCTCAGAATGTTTCCTGTGATGACTGCATTCAACTCACAGAGGTGAACAATCCTGTTGATGGAGCAGTTTTGAAACTCTCTTTCTTTGGATTCTGCAAGTTGATATGTGGACCTCTGTGAAGATTTCGTTGGAAACGGGTTCATCTTCACAGAAAAACTAAACAGAAGCATTCTCAGAAACTGCTTTGTGATGTTTGTGTTCCACTTCAAGAATTGAACTTTCCTCTTGACAGAGCAGCTCTGAAACCCTCTTTTTCCTGAATCTGCAAGTGGACATTTGGAGGGCTTTGAGGCCTGTGGTGGAAAAGGAAAATCTTCACATAAAAACTAGATGGAAGCATTCTCAGAAACTACTTTGTGATGATTGCATTCGACTCACAGAGTTGAATATTCCTATAGATAGAGCAGGTTGTAAACAATCTTTTTGTAGAATCTGCGATTGGAGATTTGGACTGCTTTGAGGCCTACTGTAGTAAAGGAAATAACTTCATCTAAAAACCAAACGGAAGCATTCACAGACAATTCTTAGTGATCATTGGATTGAACTAACAGAGCTGGACATTCCTTTAGATGGAGCAGTTTCCAAACACACTTTCTGTAGAATCTGCAAGTGGATATTTGGACTTCTCTGAGGATTTCGTTGGAAACGGGATAAACTTCCCAGAACTACACGGAAGCATTCTGAGAAACTTCTTTGTGATGTTTGCATTCAACTCACAGAGTTGAACCTTGCTTTCATAGTTCAGCTTTCAAACACTCTTTTTGTAGAATTTGCAAGTGGATATTTGGACCACTTTGTGGCCTTCCTTCGAAACGGGTATATCTTCACATCAAACCTAGACAGAAGCATTCTCACAATGTTTCCTGTGATGACTGCATTCAACTCACAGAGGTGAACAATCCTGCTGATGGAGCAGTTTTGAAACTCTCTTTCTTTGGATTCTGCAAGTGGACATGTGGACCTCTGTGAAGATTTCGTTGGAAACGGGTTCATCTTCACAGAAAAACTAAACAGAAGCATTCTCAGAAACTGCTTTGTGATGTTTGTGTTCCACTTCAGGAATTGAACTTTCCTCTTGACAGAGCAGCTCTGAAACCCTCTTATTCTAGAATCTGCAAGTGGACATTTGGAGGGCTTTGAGGCCTGTGGTGGAAAAGGAAAATCTTCACATAAAAACTAGATGGAAGCATTCTCAGAAACTACTTTGTGATGATTGCATTCGACTCACAGAGTTGAACATTCCTATAGATAGAGCAGGTTGTAAACAATCTTTTTGTAGAATCTGCGATTGGAGATTTGGACTGCTTTGAGGCCTACTGTAGTAAAGGAAATAACTTCATCTAAAAACCAAACGGAAGCATTCACAGACAAGTCTTAGTGATCATTTGATTGAACTAACCGAGCTGAAGATTCCTTTAGATGGAGCATTTTCCAAACACACTTTCTGTAGAATCTGCAAGTGGACATTTGGACCTCTCTGAGGGTTTCGTTGGAAACGGGATAAATTTCCCAGAACTACACGGAAGCATTCTGAGAAAATTCTTTGTGATGTTTGCATTCAACTCACAGAGTTGAACCTTGCTTTCATAGTTAAGCTTTCAAACACTCTTTTTGTAGAATCTGCAAGTGGATATTTGGACCACTTTGTGGCCTTCCTTCGAAACGGGTATATCTTCACATCAAACCTAGACAGAAGCATTCTCAGAATGTTTCCTGTGATGACTGCATTCAACTCACAGAGGTGAACAATCCTGCTGATGGAGCAGTTTTGAAACTCTCTTTCTTTGGATTCTGCATGTGGATATGTGGACCTCTGTGAAGATTTCGTTGGAAACGGGTTCATCTTCACAGAAAAACTAAACAGAAACATTCTCAGAAACTGCTTTGTGATGTTTGTGTTCCACTTCAAGAATTGAACTTTCCTCTTGACAGAGCAGCTCTGAAACCCTCTTTTTCTAGAATCTGCAAGTGGACATTTGGAGGGCTTTGAGGCCTGTGGTGGAAAAGGAAAATCTTCACATAAAAACTAGATGGAAGCATTCTCAGAAACTACTTTGTGATGATTGCATTCGACTCACAGAGTTGAACATTCCTATAGATAGAGCAGGTTGTAAACAATCTTTTTGTAGAATCTGCGATTGGAGATTTGGACTGCTTTGAGGCCTACTGTAGTAAAGGAAATAACTTCATCTAAAAACCAAACGGAAGCATTCACAGACAATTCTTAGTGATCATTGCATTGAACTAACAGAGCTGAACATTCCTTTAGATGGAGCAGTTTCCAAACACACTTTCTGTAGAATCTGCAAGTGGATATTTGGACTTCTCTGAGGATTTCGTTGGAAACGGGATAAACTTCCCAGAACTACACGGAAGCATTGTGAGAAACTTCTTTGTGATGTTTGCATTCAACTCACAGAGTTGAACCTTGCTTTCATAGTTCAGCTTTCAAACACTCTTTTTGTAGAATCTGCAAGTGGATATTTGGACCACTTTGTGGCCTTCCTTTGAAAAGGGTATATCTTCACATCAAACCTAGACAGAAGCATTCTCAGAATGTTTCCTGTGATGACTGCATTCAACTCACAGAGGTGAACAATCCTGCTGATGGAGCAGTTTTGAAACTCTCTTTCTTTGGATTCTGCAAGTGGATATGTGGACCTCTGTGAAGATTTCGTTGGAAACGGGTTCATCTTCACAGAAAAACTAAACAGAAGCATTCTCAGAAACTACTTTGTGATGTTTGTGTTCCACATCAAGAATTGAACTTTCCTCTTGACAGAGCAGCTCTGAAACCCTCTTTTTCTAGAATCTGCAAGTGGACATTTGGAGGGCTTTGAGGCCTGTGGTGGAAAAGGAAAATCTTCTCATAAAAACTAGATGGAAGCATTCTCAGAAACTACTTTGTGATGATTGCATTCGACTCACAGAGTTGAACATTCCTATAGATAGAGCAGGTTGTAAACAATCTTTTTGTAGAATCTGCGATTGGAGATTTGGACTGCTTTGAGGCCTACTGTAGTAAAGGAAATAACTTCACCTAAAAACCAAACGGAAGCATTCACAGACAATTCTTAGTGATCATTGCATTGAACTAACAGAGCTGAACATTCCTTAAGATGGCGCAGTTTCCAAACACAATTTCTGTAGAATCTGCAAGTGGATATTTGGACCTCTCTGAGGATTTCGTTGGAAACGGGATAAACTTCCCAGAACCACACGGAAGCATTGTGAGAAACTTCTTTGTGATGTTTGCATTCAACTCACAGAGTTGAACCTTGCTTTCATAGTTCATCTTTCAAACACTCTTTTTGTAGAATCTGCAAGTGGATATTTGGACCACTTTGTGGCCTTCCTTCGAAACGGGTATATCTTCACATCAAACCTAGACAGAAGCATTCTCAGAATGTTTCCTGTGATGACTGCATTCAACTCACAGAGGTGAACAATCCTGCTGATGGAGCAGTTTTGAAACTCTCTTTCTTTGGATTCTGCAAGTGGATATGTGGAGCTCTGTGAAGATTTCGTTGGAAACGGGTTCATCTTCCCAGAAAAACTAAACAGGAGCATTATCAGAAACTGCTTTGTGATGTTTGTGTTCCACTTCAAGAATTCAACTTACCTCTTGACACAGCAGCTCTGAAACCTTCTTTTTCTAGAATCTGCAAGTGGACATTTGGAGGGCTTTGAGGCATGTGGTGGAAAAGGAAAATCTTCACCTAAAAACTAGATGGAAGCATTCTCAGAAACTACTTTGTGATGATTGCATTCGACTCACAGAGTTGAACATTCCTATAGATAGAGCAGGTTGTAAACAATCTTTTTTAGAATCTGCGATTGGAGATTTGGACTGCTTTGAGGCCTACTGTAGTAAAGGAAATAACTTCATCTAAAAAACAAACGGAAGCATTCACAGACAATTCTTAGTGATCATTGGATTGAACTAACAGAGCTGAACATTCCTTTAGATGGAGCAGTTTCCAAACACATTTTCTGTAGAATCTGCAAGTGGATATTTGGACTTCTCTGAGGATTTCGTTGGAAACGGGATAAACTTCCCAGAACTACACTTAAGCATTCTGAGAAACTTCTTTGTGATGTTTGCATTCAACTCATAGAGTTGAACCTTGCTTTCATAGTTCAGCTTTCAAACACTCTTTTTGTAGAATCTGCAAGTGGATATTTGGACCACTTTGTGGCCTTCCTTCGAAACGGGTATATCTTCACATCAAACCTAGACAGAAGCATTCTCAGAATGTTTCCTGTGATGACTGCATTCAACTCACAGAGGTGAACAATCCTGCTGATGGAGCAGTTTTGAAACTCTCTTTCTTTGGATTCTGCAAGTAGATATGTGGACCTCTGTGAAGATTTCGTTGGAAACGGGTTCATCTTCACAGAAAAACTAAACAGAAGCATTCTCAGAAACTGCTTTGTGATGTTTGTGTTCCACTACAGGAATTGAACTTTCCTCTTGACAGAGCAGCTCTGAAACCCTCTTATTCTAGAATCTGCAAGTGGACATGTGGAGGGCTTTGAGGCCTGTGGTGGAAAAGGAAAATCTTCACATAAAAACTAGATGGAAGCATTCTCAGAAACTACTTTGTGATGATTGCATTCGACTCACAGAGTTGAACATTCCTATAGATAGAGCAGGTTGTAAACAATCTTTTTGTAGAATCTGCGATTGGAGATTTGGACTGCTTTGAGGCCTACTGTAGTAAAGGAAATAACTTCATCTAAAAACCAAAAGGAAGCATTCACAGACAATTCTTAGTGATCATTGCATTGAACTAACAGAGCTGAACATTCCTTTAGATGGCGCAGTTTCCAAACACACTTTCTGTAGAATCTGCAAGTGGATATTTGGACCTCTCTGAGGATTTCGTTGGAAAAGGGATAAACTTCCCAGAACTACACGGAAGCATTGTGAGAAACTTCTTTGTGATGTTTGCATTCAACTCACAGAGTTGAACCTTGCTTTCATAGTTCAGCTTTCAAACACTCTTTTTGTAGAATCTGCAAGTGGATATTTGGACCACTTTGTGGCCTTCCTTCGAAACGGGTATATCTTCACATCAAACCTAGACAGAAGCATTCTCAGAATGTTTCCTGTGATGACTGCATTCAACTCACAGAGGTGAACAATCCTGCTGATGGAGCAGTTTTGAAACTCTCTTTCTTTGGATTCTGCAAGTGGATATGTGGACCTCTGTGTAGATTTCGTTGGAAACGGGTTCATCTTCACAGAAAAACTAAACAGGAGCATTCTCAGAAACTGCTTTGTGATGTTTGTGTTCCACTTCAAGAATTGAACTTTCCTCTTGACAGAGCAGCTCTGAATCCCTCTTTTTCTAGAATCTGCAAGTGGACATTTGGAGGGCTTTGAGGCCTGTGGTGGAAAAGGAAAATCTTCACATAAAAACTAGATGGAAGCATTCTCAGAAACTACTTTGTGATGATTGCATTCGACTCACAGAGTTGAACATTCCTATAGATAGAGCAGGTTGTAAACTATCTTTTTGTAGAATCTGCGATTGGAGATTTGGACTGCTTTGAGGCCTACTGTAGTAAAGGAAATAACTTCATCTAAAAACCAAACGGAAGCATTCACAGACAATTCTTAGGGATCATTGGATTGAACTAACAGAGCTGAACATTCCTTTAGATGGAGCAGTTTCCAAACCCACTTTCTGTAGAATCTGCAAGTGGATATTTGGACTTCTCTGAGGATTTCGTTGGAAAGGGGATAAACTTCCCAGAACTACACGGAAGCATTCTGAGAACTTCTTTGTGATGTTTGCATTCAACTCACAGAGTTGAACCTTGCTTTCATAGTTCAGCTTTCAAACACTCTTTTTGTAGAATCTGCAAGTGGATATTTGGACCACTTTGTGGCCTTCCTTCGAAACGGGTATATCTTCACATCAAACCTAGACAGAAGCATTCTCAGAATGTTTCCTGTGATGACTGCATTCAACTCACAGAGGTGAACAATCCTGTTGATGGAGCACTTTTGAAACTCTCTTTCTTTGGATTCTGCAAGTTGATATGTGGACCTCTGTGAAGATTTCGTTGGAAACGGGTTCATCTTCACAGAAAAACTAAACAGAATCATTCTCAGAAACTGCTTTGTGATGTTTGTGTTCCACTTCAAGAATTGAACTTTCCTCTTCAAAGAGCAGCTCTGAAACCCTCTTTTTCTAGAATCTGCAAGTGGACATTTGGAGGGCTTTGAGGCCTGTGGTGGAAAAGGAAAATCTTCACATAAAAACTAGATGGAAGCATTCTCAGAAACTACTTTGTGATGATTGCATTCGACTCACAGAGTTGAACATTCCTATAGATAGAGCAGGTTGTAAACAATCTTTTTGTAGAATCTGCGATTGGAGATTTGGACTGCTTTGAGGTCTACTGTAGTAAAGGAAACAACTTCATCTAAAAACCAAACGGAAGCATTCACAGAAAATTCTTTGTGATGATTGGATTGAACTAAGAGAGCTGAACATTCCTTTAGATGGCGCAGTTTCCAAACAGACTTTATGTAGAATCTGCAAGTGGATATTTGGACCTCTGTGAGGATTTCGTTGGAAATGTGATAAACTTCCCAGAACTACACGGAAGCATTGTGAGAAACTTCTTTGTGATGTTTGCATTCAACTCACAGAGTTGAACCTTGCTTTCATAGTTCAGCTTTCAAACACTCTTTTTGTAGAATCTGCAAGTGGATATTTGGACCACTTTGTGGCCTTCCTTCGTAACGGGTATATCTTCACATCAAACCTAGACAGAAGCATTCTCAGAATGTTTCCTGTGATGACTGCATTCAACTCACAGAGGTGAACAATCCTGCTGATGGAGCAGTTTTGAAACTCTCTTTCTTTGGATTCTGCAAGTGGATATGTGGACCTCTGTGAAGATTTCGTTGGAAACGGGTTCATCTTCACAGAAAAACTAAACAGGAGCATTCTCAGAAACTGCTTTGTGATGTTTGTGTTCCACTTCAAGAATTGAACTTTCCTCTTGACAGAGCAGCTCTGAAACCCTCTTTTTCTGGAATCTGCAAGTGGACATTTGGAGGGCTTTGAGGCCTGTGGTGGAAAAGGAAAATCTTCCCATAAAAACTAGATGGAAGCATTCTCAGAAACTACTTTGTGATGATTGCATTCGACTCACAGAGTTGAACATTCCTATAGATAGAGCAGGTTGTAAACAATCTTTTTGTAGAATCTGCGATTGGAGATTTGGACTGCTTTGAGGCCTACTGTAGTAAAGGAAATAACTTCATCTAAAAACCAAACGGAAGCATTCACAGACAATTCTTAGTGATCATTGGATTGAACTAACAGAGCTGAACATTCCTTTAGATGGAGCAGTTTCCAAACACACTTTCTGTAGAATCTGCAAGTGGATATTTGGACTTCTCTGAGGATTTCGTTGGAAACGGGATAAACTTCCCAGAACTACACGGAAGCATTGTGAGAAACTTCTTTGTGATGTTTGCATTCAACTCACAGAGTTGAACCTTGCTTTCATAGTTCAGCTTTCAAACACTCTTTTTGTAGAATCTGCAAGTGGATATTTGGACCACTTTGTGGCCTTCCTTCGAAACGGGTATATCTTCACATCAAACCTAGACAGAAGCACTCTCAGAATGTTTCCTGTGATGACTGCATTCAACTCACAGAGGTGAACAATCCTGCTGATGCAGCACTTTTGAAACTCTCTTTCTTTGGATTCTGCAAGTTGATATGTGGACCTCTGTGAAGATTTCGTTGGAAACGGGTTCATCTTCACAGAAAAACTAAACAGAAGCATTCTCAGAAACTGCTTTGTGATGTTTGTGTTCCACTTCAGGAATTGAACTTTCCTCTTGACAGAGCAGCTCTGAAACCCTCTTATTCTAGAATCTGCAAGTGGACATTTGGAGGGCTTTGAGGCCTGTGGTGGAAAAGGAAAATCTTCACATAAAAACTAGATGGAAGCATTCTCAGAAACTACTTTGTGATGATTGCATTCGACTCACAGAGTTGAACATTCCTATAGATAGAGCAGGTTGTAAACAATCTTTTTGTAGAATCTGCGATTGGAGATTTGGACTGCTTTGAGGCCTACTGTAGTAAAGGAAATAACTTCATCTAAAAACCAAACGGAAGCATTCACAGACAATTCTTAGTGATCATTGCATTGAACTAACAGAGCTGAACATTCCTTTAGATGGAGCATTTTCCAAACACACTTTCTGTAGAATCTGCAAGTGGATATTTGGACTTCTCTGAGGATTTCGTTGGAAACGGGATATACTTCCCAGAACTACACGGAAGCATTGTGAGAAACTTCTTTGTGATGTTTGCATTCAACTCACAGAGTTGAACCTTGCTTTCATAGTTCAGCTTTCAAACACTCTTTTTGTAGAATCTGCAAGTGGATATTTGGACCACTTTGTGGCCTTCCTTCGAAACGGGTATATCTTCACATCAAACCTAGACAGAAGCATTCTCAGAATGTTTCCTGTGATGACTGCATTCAACTCACAGAGGTGAACAATCCTGTTGATGGAGCAGTTTTGAAACTCTCTTTCTTTGGATTCTGCAAGTTGATATGTGGACCTCTGTGAAGATTTCGTTGGAAACGGGTTCATCTTCACAGAAAAACTAAACAGAAGCATTCTCAGAAACTGCTTTGTGATGTTTGTGTTCCACTTCAAGAATTGAACTTTCCTCTTGACAGAGCAGCTCTGAAACCCTCTTTTTCTAGAATCTGCAAGTGGACATTTGGAGGGCTTTGAGGCCTGTGGTGGAAAAGGAAAATCTTCCCATAAAAACTAGATGGAAGCATTCTCAGAAACTACTTTGTGATGATTGCATTCGACTCACAGAGTTGAACATTACTATAGATAGAGCAGGTTGTAAACAATGTTTTTGTAGAATCTGCGATTGGAGATTTGGACTGCTTTGAGGCCTACTGTAGTAAAGGAAATAACTTCATCTAAAAACCAAACGGAAGCATTCACAGACAATTCTTAGTGATCATTGGATTGAACTAACAGAGCTGAACATTCCTTTAGATGGAGCAGTTTCCAAACACACTTTCTGCAGAATCTGCAAGTGGATATTTGGACTTCTCTGAGGATTTCGTTGGAAACGGGATAAACTTCCCAGAACTACACGGAAGCATTGTGAGAATCATCTTTCTGATGTTTGCATTCAACTCACAGAGTTGAACCTTGCTTTCATAGTTCAGCTTTCAAACACTCTTTTTGTAGAATCTGCAAGTGGATATTTGGACCACTTTGTGGCCTTCCTTCGAAACGGGTATATCTTCACATCAAACCTAGACAGAAGCATTCTCAGAATGTTTCCTGTGATGACTGCATTCAACTCACAGAGGTGAACAATCCTGCTGATGGAGCAGTTTTGAAACTCTCTTTCTTTGGATTCTGCAAGTGGATATGTGGACCTCTGTGAAGATTTCGTTGGAAACGGGTTCATCTTCACAGAAAAACTAAACAGAAGCATTCCCAGAAACTGCTTTGTGATGTTTCTGTTCCACTTCAAGAATTGAACTTTCCTCTTGACAGAGCAGCTCTGAAACCCTCTTTTTCTAGAATCTGCAAGTGGACATTTGGAGGGCTTTGAGGCCTGTGGTGGAAAAGGAAAATCTTCACATAAAAACTAGATGGAAGCATTCTCAGAAACTACTTTGTGATGATTGCATTCGACTCACAGAGTTGAACATTCCTATACATAGAGCAGGTTGTAAACAATCTTTTTGTAGAATCTGCGATTGGAGATTTGGACTGCTTTGAGGCCTACTGTAGTAAAGGAAATAACTTCATCTAAAAACCAAACGGAAGCATTCACAGACAATCCTTAGTGATCATTGCATTGAACTAACAGAGCTGAACATTCCTTTAGATGGCGCAGTTTCCAAACACACTTTCTGTAGAATCTGCAAGTGGATATTTGGACCTCTCTGAGGATTTCGTTGGAAACGGGATAAACTTCCCAGAACTACACGGAAGCATTCTGAGAAACTTCTTTGTGATGTTTGCATTCAACTCACAGAGTTGAACCTTGCTTTCATAGTTCAGCTTTCAAACCCTCTTTTTGTAGAATCTGCAAGTGGATATTTGGACCACTTTGTGGCCTTCCTTCGAAACGGGTATATCTTCACATCAAACCTAGACAGAAGCATTCTCAGAATGTTTCCTGTGATGACTGCATTCAACTCACAGAGGTGAACAATCCTGCTGATGGAGCAGTTTTGAAACTCTCTTTCTTTGGATTCTGCAAGTGGATATGTGGACCTCTGTGAAGATTTCGTTGGAAAAGGGTTCATCTTCACAGAAAAACTAAACAGAAGCATTCCCAGAAACTGCTTTGTGATGTTTCTGTTCCACTTCAAGAATTGAACTTTCCTCTTGACAGAGCAGCTCTGAAACCCTCTTTTTCTAGAATCTGCAAGTGGACATTTGGAGGGCTTTGAGGCCTGTGGTGGAAAAGGAAAATCTTCACATAAAAACTAGATGGAAGCATTCTCAGAAACTACTTTGTGATGATTGCATTCGACTCACAGAGTTGAACATTCCTATAGATAGAGCAGGTTGTAAACAATCTTTTTGTAGAATCTGCGATTGGAGATTTGGACTGCTTTGAGGCCTACTGTAGTAAAGGAAATAACTTCATCTAAAAACCAAACGGAAGCATTCACTTAAAATTCTTAGTGATCATTGGATTGAACTAACAGAGCTGAACATTCCTTTAGATGGAGCAGTTTCCAAACCCACTTTCTGTAGAATATGCAAGTGGATATTTGGACCTCTCTGAGGATTTCGTTGGAAACGGGATATGCTTCCCAGAACTACACGGAAGCATTCTGAGAAACTTCTTTGTGATGTTTGCATTCAACTCACAGAGTTGAACCTTGCTTTCATAGTTCAGCTTTCAAACACTCTTTTTGTAGAATCTGCAAGTGGATATTTGGACCACTTTGTGGCCTTCCTTCGAAACGGGTATATCTTCACATCAAACCTAGACAGAAGCATTCTCAGAATGTTTCCTGTGATGACTGCATTCAACTCACAGAGCTGAACAATCCTGCTGATGGAGCAGTTTTGAAACTCTCTTTCTTTGGATTCTGCAAGTGGATATCTGGACCTCTGTGAAGATTTCGTTGGAAACGGGTTCATCTTCACAGAAAAACTAAACAGAAGCATTCTCAGAAACTGCTTTGTGATGTTTGTGTTCCACTTCAGGAATTGAACTTTCCTCTTGACAGAGCAGCTCTGAAATCCTCTTATTCTAGAATCTGCAAGTGGACATTTGGAGGGCTTTGAGGCCTGTGGTGGAAAAGGAAAATCTTCACATAAAAACTAGATGGAAGCATTCTCAGAAACTACTTTGTGATGATTGCATTCGACTCACAGAGTTGAACATTCCTATAGATAGAGCAGGTTGTAAACAATCTTTTTGTAGAATCTGCGATTGGAGATTTGGACTGCTTTGAGGCCTACTGTAGTAAAGGAAATAACTTCATCTAAAAACCAAACGGAAGCATTCACAGACAATTCTTAGTGATCATTGGATTGAACTAACAGAGCTGAACATTCCTTTAGATGGCGCAGTTTCCACACACACTTTCTGTAGAATCTGCAAGTGGATATTTGGACCTCTCTGAGGATTTCGTTGGAAACGGGATAAACTTCCCAGAACTACACGGAAGCATTCTGAGAAACTTCTTTGTGATGTTTGCATTCAACTCACAGAGTTGAACCTTGCTTTCATAGTTCAGCTTTCAAACACTCTTTTTGTAGAATCTGCAAGTGGATATTTGGACCACTTTGTGGCCTTCCTTCGAAACGGGTATATCTTCACATCAAACCTAGACAGAAGCATTCTCAGAATGTTTCCTGTGATGACTGCATTCAACTCACAGAGGTGAACAATCCTGCTGATGGAGCAGTTTTGAAACTCCCTTTCTTTGGATTCTGCAAGTGGATATGTGGACCTCTGTGAAGATTTCGTTGGAAACGAGTTCATCTTCACAGAAAAACTAAACAGAAGCATTCTCAGAAACTGCTTTGTGATGTTTGTGTTCCACTTCAGGAATTGAACTTTCCTCTTGACAGAGCAGCTCTGAAACCCTCTTATTCTAGAATCTGCAAGTGGACATTTGGAGGGCTTTGAGGCCTGTGGTGGAAAAGGAAAATCTTCACATAAAAACTAGATGGAAGCATTCTCAGAAACTACTTTGTGATGATTGCATTCGACTCACAGAGTTGAACATTCCTATAGATAGAGCAGGTTGTAAACAATCTTTTTGTAGAATCTGCGATTGGAGATTTGTTCTGCTTTGAGGCCTACTGTAGTAAAGGAAATAACTTCATCTAAAAACCAAACGGAAGCATTCACAGACAATTCTTAGTGATCATTGGATTGAACTAACTGAGCTGAACATTCCTTTAGATGGAGCAGTTTCCAAACCCACCTTCTCTAGAATCTGCAAGTAGATATTTGGACTTCTCTGAGGATTTCGTTGGAAACGGGATAAACTTCCCAGAACTACACGGAAGCATTGTGAGAAACTTCTTTGTGATGTTTGCATTCAACTCACAGAGTTGAACCTTGCTTTCATAGTTCAGCTTTCAAACACTCTTTTTGTAGAATCTGCAAGTGGATATTTGGACCACTTTGTGGCCTTCCTTTGAAAAGGGTATATCTTCACATCAAACCTAGACAGAAGCATTCTCAGAATGTTTCCTGTGATGACTGCATTCAACTCACAGAGGTGAACAATCCTGCTGATGGAGCAGTTTTGAAACTCTCTTTCTTTGGATTCTGCAAGTGGATATGTGGACCTCTGTGAAGATTTCGTTGGAAACGGGTTCATCTTCACAGAAAAACAAAACAGGAGCATTCTCAGAAACTGCTTTGTGATGTTTGTGTTCCACTTCAAGAATTGAACTTTCCTCTTGACAGAGCAGCTCTGAAACCCTCTTTTTCTAGAATCTGCAAGTGGACATTTGGAGGGCTTTGAGGCCTGTGGTGGAAAAGGAAAATCTTCACATAAAAACTAGATGGAAGCATTCTCAGAAACTACTTTGTGATGATTGCATTCGACTCACAGAGTTGAACATTCCTATAGGTAGAGCAGGTTGTAAACAATCTTTTTGTAGAATCTGCGATTGGAGATTTGGACTGCTTTGAGGCCTACTGTAGTAAAGGAAATAACTTCATCTAAAAACCAAACGGAAGCATTCACAGACAATTCTTAGTGATCATTGGATTGAACTAACAGAGCTGAACATTCCTTTAGATGGAGCAGTTTCCAAACACACTTTCTGTAGAATCTGCAAGTGGATATTTGGACTTCTCTGAGGATTTCGTTGGAAACGGGATAAACTTCTCAGAACTACAGGGAAGCATTGTGAGAAACTTCTTTGTGATGTTTGCATTCAACTCACAGAGTTGAACGTTGTTTTCATAGTTCAGCTTTCAAACACTCTTTTTGTAGAATCTGCAAGTGGATATTTGGACCACTTTGTGGCCTTCCTTCGAAACGGGTATATCTTCACATCAAACCTAGACAGAAGCATTCTCAGAATGTTTCCTGTGATGACTGCATTCAACTCACAGAGGTGAACAATCCTGCTGATGGAGCACTTTTGAAACTCTCTTTCTTTGGATTCTGCAAGTGGATATGTGGACCTCTGTGAAGATTTCGTTGGAAACGGGTTCATCTTCACAGAAAAAATAACAGGAGCATTCTCAGAAACTGCTTTGTGATGTTTGTGTTCCACTTCAAGAATTGAACTTTCCTCTTGACAGAGCAGCTCTGAAACCCTCTTTTTCTAGAATCTGCAAGTGGACATTTGGAGGGCTTTGAGGCCTGTGGTGGAAAAGGAAAATCTTCACATAAAAACTAGATGGAAGCATTCTCAGAAACTACTTTGTGATGATTGCATTCGACTCACAGAGTTGAACATTCCTATAGATAGAGCAGGTTGTAAACAATCTTTTTGTAGAATCTGCGATTGGAGATTTGGACTGCTTTGAGGCCTACTGTAGTAAAGGAAATAACTTCATCTAAAAGCCAAACGGAAGCATTCACAGACAATTCTTAGTGATCATTGGATTGAACTAACAGAGCTGAACATTCCTTTAGATGGAGCAGTTTACAAACACACTTTATGTAGAATCTGCAAGTGGATATTTGGACTTCTCTGAGGATTTCGTTGGAAACGGGATAAACTTCCCAGAACTACACGGAAGCATTCTGAGAAACTTCTTTGTGATGTTTGCATTCAACTCACAGAGTTGAACCTTGCTTTCATAGTTCAGCTTTCAAACACTCTTTTTGTAGAATCTGCAAGTGGATATTTGGACCACTTTGTGGCCTTCCTTCGAAACGGGTATATCTTCACATCAAACCTAGACAGAAGCATTCTCAGAATGTTTCCTGTGATGACTGCATTCAACTCACAGAGGTGAACAATCCTGCTGATGGAGCAGTTTTGAAACTCTCTTTCTTTGGATTCTGCAAGTGGATATGTGGACCTCTGTGAAGATTTCGTTGGAAACGGGTTCATCTTCACAGAAAAACTAAACAGGAGCATTCTCAGAAACTGCTTTGTGATGTTTGTGTTCCACTTCAAGAATTGAACTTTCCTCTTGACAGAGCAGCTCTGAAACCCTCTTTTTCTAGAATCTGCAAGTGGACATTTGGAGGGCTTTGAGGCCTGTGGTGGAAAAGGAAACTCTTCACATAAAAACTAGATGGAAGCATTCTCAGAAACTCCTTTGTGATGATTGCATTCGACTCACAGAGTTGAACATTCCTACAGATAGAGCAGGTTGTAAACAATCTTTTTGTAGAATCTGCGATTGGAGATTTGGACTGCTTTGAGGCCTACTGTAGTAAAGGAAATAACTTCATCTAAAAACCAAACGGAAGCATTCACAGACAATTCTTAGTGATCATTGGATTGAACTAACAGAGCTGAATATTCCTTTAGATGGAGCAGTTTCCAAACACACTTTCTGTAGAATCTGCAAGTGGATATTTGGACTTCTCTGAGGATTTCTTTGGAAGCGGGATAAACTTCCCAGAACTACACGGAAGCATTCTGAGAAACTTCTTTGTGATGTTTGCATTCAACTCACAGAGTTGAACCTTGCTTTCATAGTTCAGCTTTCAAACACTCTTTTTGTAGAATCTGCAAGTGGATATTTGGACCACTTTGTGGCCTTCCTTCGAAACGGGTATATCTTCACATCAAACCTAGACAGAAGCATTCTCAGAATGTTTCCTGTGATGACTGCATTCAACTCACAGAGGTGAACAATCCTGTTGATGGAGCAGTTTTGAAACTCTCTTTCTTTGGATTCTGCAAGTGGATATGTGGACCTCTGTGAAGATTTCGTTGGAAACGGGTTCATCTTCACAGAAAAACTAAACAGAAGCATTCTCAGAAACTGCTTTGTGATGTTTGTGTTCCACTTCAGGAATTGAACTTTCCTCTTGACAGAACAGCTCTGAAACCCTCTTATTCTAGAATCTGCAAGTGGACATTTGGAGGGCTTTGAGGCCTGTGGTGGAAAAGGAAAATCTTCACATAAAAACTAGATGGAAGCATTCTCAGAAACTACTTTGTGATGATGGCTTTCGACTCACAGAGTTGAACATTCCTATAGATAGAGCAGGTTGTAAACAATCTTTTTGTAGAATCTGCGATTGGAGATTTGGACTGCTTTGAGGCCTACTGTAGTAAAGGAAATAACTTCATCTAAAAACCAAACGGAAGCATTCACAGACAATTCTTAGTGATCATTGGATTGAACTAACAGAGCTGAACATTCCTTTAGATGGAGCAGTTTCCAAACCCACTTTCTGTAGAATCTGCAAGTGGATATTTGGACTTCTCTGAGGATTTCGTTGGAAACGGGATAAACTTCCCAGAACTACACGGAAGCATTGTGAGAAACTTCTTTGTGATGTTTGCATTCAACTCACAGAGTTGAACCTTGCTTTCATAGTTCAGCTTTCAAACACTCTTTTTGTAGAATCTGCAAGTGGATATTTGGACCACTTTGTGGCCTTCCTTCGAAACGGGTATATCTTCACATCAAACCTAGACAGAAGCATTCTCAGAATGTTTCCTGTGATGACTGCATTCAACTCACAGAGGTGAACAATCCTTCTGATGGAGCAGTTTTGAAACTCTCTTTCTTTGGATTCTGCAAGTGGATATGTGGACCTCTGTGAAGATTTCGTTGGAAACGGGTTCATCTTCACAGAAAAACTAAACAGGAGTATTCTCAGAAACTGCTTTGTGATGTTTGTGTTCCACTTCAGGAATTGAACTTTCCTCTTGACAGAGCAGCTCTGAAACCCTCTTATTCTAGAATCTGCAAGTGGACATTTGGAGGGCTTTGAGGCCTGTGGTGGAAAAGGAAAATCTTCACATAAAAACTAGATGGAAGCATTCTCAGAAACTACTTTGTGATGATTGCATTCGACTCACAGAGTTGAACATTCCTATAGATAGAGCAGGTTGTAAACAATCTTTTTGTAGAATCTGCGATTGGAGATTTGGACTGCTTTGAGGCCTACTGTAGTAAAGGAAATAACTTCATCTAAAAACCAAACGGAAGCATTCACAGCACAATTCTTAGTGATCATTGCATTGAACTAACAGAGTTGAACATTCCTTTAGGTGGCGCAGTTTCCAAACACACTTTCTGTTGAATCTGCAAGTGGATATTTGGACCTCTCTGAGGATTTCGTTGGAAACGGGATAAACTTCCCAGAACTACACGGAAGCATTGTGAGAAACTTCTTTGTGATGTTTGCATTCAACTCACAGAGTTGAACCTTGCTTTCATAGTTCAGCTTTCAAACACTCTTTTTGTAGAATCTGCAAGTGGATATTTGGACCACTTTGTGGCCTTCCTTCGAAACGGGTATATCTTCACATCAAACCTAGACAGAAGCATTCTCAGAATGGTTCCTGTGATGACTGCATTCAACTGACAGAGGTGAACAATCCTGCTGATGGAGCAGTTTTGAAACTCTCTTTCTTTGGATTCTGCAAGTGGATATGTGGACCTCTGTGAAGATTTCGTTGGAAACGGGTTCATCTTCACAGAAAAACTAAACAGAAGCATTATCAGAAACTGCTTTGTGATGTTTGTGTTCCACTTCAGGAATTGTACTTTCCTCTTGACAGAGCAGCTCTGAAACCCTCTTATTCTAGAAACTGCAAGTGGACATTTGGAGGGCTTTGAGGCCTGTGGTGGAAAAGGAAAATCTTCACATAAAAACTAGATGGAAGCATTCTCAGAAACTACTTTGTGATGATTGCATTCGACTCACAGAGTTGAACATTCCTATAGATAGAGCAGGTTGTAAACAATCTTTTTGTAGAATCTGCGATTGGAGATTTGGACTGCTTTGAGGCCTACTGTAGTAAAGGAAATAACTTCATCTAAAAACCAAACGGAAGCATTCACAGACAATTCTTAGTGATCATTGGATTGAACTAACAGAGCTGAACATTCCTTTAGATGGAGCAGTTTCCAAACCCACTTTCTGTAGAATCTGCAAGTGGATATTTGGACTTCTCTGAGGATTTCGTTGGAAACGGGATAAACTTCCCAGAACTACACGGAAGCATTGTGAGAAACTTCTTTGTGATGTTTGCATTCAACTCACAGAGTTGAACCTTGCTTTCATAGTTCAGCTTTCAAACACTCTTTTTGTAGAATCTGCAAGTGGATATTTGGACCACTTTGTGGCCTTCCTTCGAAACGGGTATATCTTCACATCAAACCTAGACAGAAGCATTCTCAGAATGTTTCCTGTGATGACTGCATTCAACTCACAGAGGTGAACAATCCTGCTGATGGAGCAGTTTTGAAACTCTCTTTCTTTGGATTCTGCAAGTGGATATGTGGACCTCTGTGAAGATTTCGTTGGAAACGGGTTCATCTTCACAGAAAAACTAAACAGGAACATTCTCAGAAACTGCTTTGTGATGTTTGTGTTCCACTTCAGGAATTGAACTTTCCTCTTGACAGAGCAGCTCTGAAACCCTCTTTTTCTAGAATCTGCAAGTGGACATTTGGAGGGCTTCGAGGCCTGTGGTGGAAAAGGAAAATCTTCACATAAAAACTAGATGGAAGCATTCTCAGAAACTACTTTGTGATGATTGCATTCGACTCACAGAGTTGAACATTCCTATAGATAGAGCAGGTTGTAAACAATCTTTTTGTAGAATCTGCGATTGGAGATTTGGACTGCTTTGAGGCCTACTGTAGTAAAGGAAATAACTTCATCTAAAAACCAAACGGAAGCATTCACAGACAATTCTTAGTGATCATTGCATTGAACTAACAGAGCTGAACATTCCTTTAGATGGAGCAGTTTCCAAACACACTTTCTGTAGAATCTGCAAGTGGATATTTGGACTTCTCTGAGGATTTCGTTGGAAACGGGATAAACTTCCCAGAACTACACGGAAGCATTCTGAGAAACTTCTTTGTGATGTTTTCATTCAACTCACAGAGTTGAACCTTGCTTTCATAGTTCAGCTTTCAAACACTCTTTTTGTAGAATCTGCAAGTGGATATTTGTACCACTTTGTGGCCTTCCTTCGAAACGGGTATATCTTCACATCAAACCTAGACAGAAGCATTCTCAGAATGTTTCCTGTGATGACTGCATTCAACTCACAGAGGTGAACAATCCTGTTGATGGAGCAGTTTTGAAACTCTCTTTCTTTGGATTCTGCAAGTTGATATGTGGACCTCTGTGAAGATTTCATTGGAAACGGGTTCATCTTCACAGAAAAACTAAACAGAAGCATTCTCAGAAACTGCTTTGTGATGTTTGTGTTCCACTTCAAGAATTGAACTTTCCTCTTGACAGAGCAGCTCTGAAACCCTCTTTTTCTAGAATCTGCAAGTGGACATTTGGAGGGCTTTGAGGCCTGTGGTGGAAAAGGAAAATCTTCACATAAAAACTAGATGGAAGCATTATCAGAAACTACTTTGTGATGATTGCATTCGACCCACAGAGTTGAACATTCCTATAGATAGAGTAGGTTGTAAACAATCTTTTTGTAGAATCTGCGATTGGAGATTTGGACTGCTTTGAGGCCTACTGTAGTAAAGGAAATAACTTCATCTAAAAACCAAACGGAAGCATTCACAGACAATTCTTAGTGATCATTGGATTGAACTAACAGAGCTGAACATTCCCTTAGATGGCGCAGTTTCCAAACACACTTTCTGTAGAATCTGCAAGTGGATATTTGGACCTCTCTGAGGATTTCGTTGGAAACGGGATAAACTTCCCAGAACTACACGGAAGCATTCTGAGAAACTTCTTTGTGATGTTTGCATTCAACTCACAGAGTTGAACCTTGCTTTCATAGTTCAGCTTTCAAACACTCTTTTTGTAGAATCTGCAAGTGGATATTTGGACCACTTTGTGGCCTTCCTTCGAAACGGGTATATCTTCACATCAAACCTAGACAGAAGCATTCTCAGAATGTTTCCTGTGATGACTGCATTCAACTCACAGAGGTGAACAATCCTGTCGATGGAGCACTTTTGAAACTCTCTTTCTTTGGATTCTGCAAGTGGATATGTGGACGTCTGTGAAGATTTCGTTGGAAACGGGTTCATCTTCACAGAAAAACTAAACAGAAGCATTCTCAGAAACTGCTTTGTGATGTTTGTGTTCCACTTCAGGAATTGAACTTTCCTCTTGACAGAACAGCTCTGAAACCCTCTTATTCTAGAATCTGCAAGTGGACATTTGGAGGGCTTTGAGGCCTGTGGTGGAAAAGGAAAATCTTCACATAAAAACTAGATGGAAGCATTCTCAGAAACTACTTTGTGATGATTGCATTCGACTCACAGAGTTGAACATTCCTATACATAGAGCAGGTTGTAAACAATCTTTTTGTAGAATCTGCGATTGGAGATTTGGACTGCTTTGAGGCCTACTGTAGTAAAGGAAATAACTTCATCTAAAAACCAAACGGAAGCATTCACAGACAATTCTTAGTGATCATTGCATTGAACTAACAGAGCTGAACATTGCTTTAGATGGCGCAGTTTCCAAACCCACTTTCTGTAGAATCTGCAAGTGGATATTTGGACCTCTCTGAGGATTTCGTTGGAAACGGGATAAACTTCCCAGAACTACACGGAAGCATGCTGAGAAACTTCTTTGTGATGTTTGCATTCAACTCACAGAGTTGAACCTTGCTTTCATAGTTCAGCTTTCAAACACTCTTTTTGTAGAATCTGCAAGTGGATATTTGGACCACTTTGTGGCCTTCCTTCGAAACGGGTATATCTTCACATCAAACCTAGACAGAAGCATTCTCAGAATGTTTCCTGTGATGACTGCATTCAACTCACAGAGGTGAACAATCCTGCTGATGGAGCAGTTTTGAAACTCTCTTTCTTTGGATTCTGCAAGTTGATATGTGGACCTCTGTGAAGATTTCGTTGGAAACGGGTTCATCTTCACAGAAAAACTAAACAGGAGCATTCTCAGAAACTGCTTTGTGATGTTTGTGTTCCACTTCAAGAATTGAACTTTCCTCTTGACAGAGCAGCTCTGAAACCCTCTTTTTCTAGAATCTGCAAGTGGACATTTGGAGGGCTTTGAGGCCTGTGGTGGAAAAGGAAAATCTTCCCATAAAAACTAGATGGAAGCATTCTCAGAAACTACTTTGTGATGATTGCATTCGACTCACAGAGTTGAACATTACTATAGATAGAGCAGGTTGTAAACAATGTTTTTGTACAATCTGCGATTGGAAATTTGGACTGCTTTGAGGCCTACTGTAGTAAAGGAAATAACTTCATCTAAAAACCAAACGGAAGCATTCACAGACAATTCTTAGTGATCATTGGATTGAGCTAACAGAGCTGAACATTCCTTTAGATGGAGCAGTTTCCAAACACACTTTCTGCAGAATCTGCAAGTGGATATTTGGACTTCTCTGAGGATTTCGTTGGAAACGGGATAAACTTCCCAGAACTACACGGAAGCATTGTGAGAATCATCTTTCTGATGTTGGCATTCAACTCACAGAGTTGAACCTTGCTTTCATAGTTCAGCTTTCAAACACTCTTTTTGTAGAATCTGCAAGTGGATATTTGGACCACTTTGTGGCCTTCCTTTGAAACGGGTACATCTTCACATCAAACCTAGACAGAAGCATTCTCAGAATGTTTCCTGTGATGACTGCATTCAACTCACAGAGGTGAACAATCCTGCTGATGGAGCAGTTTTGAAACTCTCTTTCTTTGGATTCTGCAAGTGGATATGTGGACCTCTGTGAAGATTTCGTTGGAAACGGGTTCATCTTCACAGAAAAACTAAACAGGAGCATTCTCAGAAACTGCTTTGTGATGTTTGTGTTCCACTTCAAGAATTGAACTTTCCTCTTGACAGAGCAGCTCTGAAACCCTCTTTTTCTAGAATCTGCAAGTGGACATTTGGAGGGCTTTGAGGCCTGTGGTGGAAAAGGAAAATCTTCCCATAAAAACTAGATGGAAGCATTCTCAGAAACTACTTTGTGATGATTGCATTCGACTCACAGAGTTGAACATTCCTATAGATAGAGCAGGTTGTAAACAATGTTTTTGTAGAATCTGCGATTGGAGATTTGGACTGCTTTGAGGCCTACTGTAGTAAAGGAAATAACTTCATCTAAAAACCAAACGGAAGCATTCACAGACAATTCTTAGTGATCATTGGATTGAACTAACAGAGCTGAACATTCCTTTAGATGGAGCAGTTTCCAAACACACTTTCTGCAGAATCTGCAAGTGGATATTTGGACTTCTCTGAGGATTTCGTTGGAAACGGGATAAACTTCCCAGAACTACACGGAAGCATTGTGAGAAACTTCTTTGTGATGTTTGCATTCAACTCACAGGGTTGAACCTTGCTTTCATAGTTCAGCTTTCAAACACTCTTTTTGTAGAATCTGCAAGTGGATATTTGGACCACTTTGTGGCCTTCGTTCGAAACGGGTATATCTTCACATCAAACCCAGACAGAAGCATTCTCAGAATGTTTCCTGTGATGACTGCATTCAACTCACAGAGGTGAACAATCCTGCTGATGGAGCAGTTTTGAAACTCTCTTTCTTTGGATTCTGCAAGTGGATATGTGGACCTCTGTGAAGATTTCGTTGGAAACGGGTTCATCTTCACAGAAAAACTAAACAGGAGCATTCTCAGAAACTGCTTTGTGATGTTTGT
The DNA here is from genome assembly GCF_000001405.40 of Homo sapiens. Lineage (NCBI taxonomy): Eukaryota > Metazoa > Chordata > Mammalia > Primates > Hominidae > Homo > Homo sapiens. Next base: position 52,208,651 of record NC_000011.10, read on the forward strand.
GTTCCACTTCAGGAATTGAACTTTCCTCTTGACAGAGCAGCTCTAAAACCCTCTTATTCTAGAATCTGCAAGTGGACATTTGGAGGGCTTTGAGGCCTGTGGTGGAAAAGGAAAATCTTCACATAAAAACTAGATGGAAGCATTCTCAGAAACTACTTTGTGATGATTGCATTCGACTCACAGAGTTGAACATTCCTATAGATAGAGCAGGTTGTAAACAATCTTTTTGTAGAATCTGCGATTGGAGATTTGGACTGCTTTGAGGCCTACTGTAGTAAAGGAAATAACTTCATCTAAAAACCAAACGGAAGCATTCACAGACAATTCTTAGTGATCATTGGATTGAACTAACAGAGCTGAACATTCCTTTAGATGGAGCAGTTTCCAAACACACTTTCTGTAGAATCTGCAAGTGGATATTTGGACCTCTCTGAGGATTTCGTTGGAAACGGGATAAACTTCCCAGAACTACACGGAAGCATTCTGAGAAACTTCTTTGTGATGTTTGCATTCAACTCACAGAGTTGAACCTTGCTTTCATAGTTCAGCTTTCAAACACTCTTTTTGTAGAATCTGCAAGTGGATATTTGGACCACTTTGTGGCCTTCCTTCGAAACGGGTATATCTTCACATCAAACCTAGACAGAAGCATTCTCAGAATGTTTCCTGTGATGACTGCATTCAACTCACAGAGGTGAACAATCCTGTTGATGGAGCCGTTTTGAAACTCCCTTTCTTTTGATTCTGCAAGTGGATATGTGGAACTCTGTGAAGATTTCGTTGGAAACGGGTTCATCTTCACAGAAAAATTAACAGGAGCATTCTCAGAAACTGCTTTGTGATGTTTGTGTTCCACTTCAAGAATTGAACTTTCCTCTTGACAGAGCAGCTCTGAAACCCTCTTTTTCTAGAATCTGCAAGTGGACATTTGGAGGGCTTTGAGGCCTGTGGTGGAAAAGGAAAATCTTCCCATAAAAACTAGATGGAAGCATTCTCAGAAACTACTTTGTGATGATTGCATTCGACTCACAGAGTTGAACATTCCTATAGATAGAGAAGGTTGTAAACAATCTTTTTGTAGAATCTGCGATTGGAGATTTGGACTGCTTTGAGGCCTACTGTAGTAAAGGAAATAACTTCACCTAAAAACCAAACGGAAGGATTCACAGACAATTCTTAGTGATCATTGCATTGAACTAACAGAGCTGAACATTCCTTTAGATGGCGCAGTTTCCAAACACACTTTCTGTAGAATCTGCAAGTGGATATTTGGACCTCTCTGAGGATTTCGTTGGAAAAGGGATAAACTTCCCAGAACTACACGGAAGCATGCTGAGAAACTTCTTTGTGATGTTTGCATTCAACTCACAGAGTGGAACCTTGCTTTCATAGTTCAGCTTTCAAACACTCTTTTTGTAGAATCTGCAAGTGGATATTTGGACCACTTTGTGGCCTTCCTTCGAAACGGGTATATCTTCTCATCAAACCTAGACAGAAGCATTCTCAGAATGTTTCCTGTGATGACTGCATTCAACTCACAGAGGTGAACAATCCTGCTGATGGAGCAGTTAGGAAACTCTCTTTCTTTGGATTCTGCAAGTGGATATGTGGACCTCTGTGAAGATTTCGTTGGAAACGGGTTCATCTTCACAGAAAAACTAAACAGGAGAATCCTCAGAAACTGCTTTGTGATGTTTGTGTTCCACTTCAAGAATTGAACTTTCCTCTTGACAGAGCAGCTCTGAAACCCTCTTTTTCTAGAATCTGCAAGTGGACATTTGGAGGGCTTTGAGGCCTGTGGTGGAAAAGGAAAATGTTCACATAAAAACTAGATGGAAGCATTCTCAGAAACTACTTTGTGATGATTGCATTCGACTCACAGAGTTGAACATTCCTATAGATAGAGCAGGTTGAAAACAATCTTTTTGTAGAATCTGCGATTGGAGATTTGGACTGCTTTGAGGCCTACTGTAGTAAAGGAAATAACTTCATCTAAAAACCAAACGGAAGCATTCACAGACAATTCTTAGTGATCATTGCATTGAACTAACAGAGCGGAACATTCCTTTAGATGGAGCAGTTTCCATACCCACTTTCTGTAGAATCTGCAAGTGGATATTTGGACCTCTCTGAGGATTTCGTTGGAAACGGGATAAACTTCCCAGAACTACACGGAAGCATTCTGAGAAACTTCTTTGTGATGTTTGCATTCAACTCACAGAGTTGAACCTTGCTTTCATAGTTCAGCTTTCAAACACTCTTTTTGTAGAATCTGCAAGTGGATATTTGGACCTCTTTGTGGCCTTCCTTCGAAACGGGTATATCTTCACATCAAACCTAGACAGAAGCATTCTCAGAATGTTTCCTGTGATGACTGCATTCAACTCACAGAGGTGAACAATCCTGCTGATGGAGCAGTTTTGAAACTCTCTTTCTTTGGATTCTGCAAGTGGATATGTGGACCTCTGTGAAGATTTCGTTGGAAACGGGTTCATCTTCACAGAAAAACTAAACAGAAGCATTCTCAGAAACTGCTTTGTGATGTTTGTGTTCCACTTCAGGAATTGAACTTTCCTCTTGACAGAGCAGCTCTGAAACCCTCTTTTTCTAGAATCTGCAAGTTGACATTTGGAGGGCTTTGAGGCCTGTGGTGGAAAAGGAAAATCTTCACATAAAAACTAGATGGAAAGCATTCTCAGAAACTACTTTGTGATGATTGCATTCGACTCACAGAGTTGAACATTCCTATAGATAGAGCAGGTTGTAAACAATCTTTTAGTAGAATCTGCGATTGGAGATTTGGACTGCTTTGAGGCCTACTGTAGTAAAGGAAATAACTTCATCTAAAAACCAAACGGAAGCATTCACAGACAATTCTTAGTGATCATTGGATTGAACAAACAGAGCTGAACACTCCTTTAGATGGCGCAGTTTCCAAACACACTTTCTGTAGAATCTGCAAGTGGATATTTGGACCTCTCTGAGGATTTCGTTGGAAACGGGATAAACTTCCCAGAACTACACGGAAGCATTCTGAGAATCTACTTTGTGATGATTGCATTCAACTCACAGAGTTGAACCTTCCTTTCATAGTTCAGCTTTCAAACACACTATTTGTATAATCTGCAAGTGGATATTTGGACCACTTTGAGGCCTTCCTTCGAAACGGGTATATCTTCACATCAAACCTAGACAGAAGCATTCTCAGAATGTTTCCTGTGATGACTGCATTCAACTCACAGAGGTGAACAATCCTGCTGATGGAGCAGTTTTGAAACTCTCTTTCTTTGGATTCTGCAAGTGGATATGTGGACCTCTGTGAAGATTTCGTTGGAAACGGGTTCATCTTCACAGAAAAACTAAACAGAAGCATTCTCAGAAACTGCTTTGTGATGTTTGTGTTCCACTTCAGGAATTGAACTTTCCTCTTTACAGAGCAGCTCTGAAACCCTCTTTTTCTAGAATCTGCAAGTGGACATTTGGAGGGCTTTGAGGCCTGTGGTGGAAAAGGAAAATCTTCACATAAAAACTAGATGGAAGCATTCTCAGAAACTACTTTGTGATGATTGCATTCGACTCACAGAGTTGAACATTCCTATAGATAGAGCAGGTTGTAAACAATCTTTTTGTAGAATCTGCGATTGGAGATTTGGACTGCTTTGAGGCCTACTGTAGTAAAGGAAATAACTTCATCTAAAAACCAAACGGAAGCATTCACAGACAATTCTTAGTGATCATTGCATTGAACTAACAGAGCTGAACATTCCTTTAGATGGCGCAGTTTCCAAACACACTTTCTGTAGAATCTGCAAGTGGATATTTGGACCTCTCTGAGGATTTCGTTGGAAACGGGATAAACTTCCCAGAACTACACGGAAGCATTGTGAGAAACTTCTTTGTGATGTTTGCATTCAACTCACAGAGTTGAACCTTGCTTTCATAGTTCAGCTTTCAAACACTCTTTTTGTAGAATCTGCAAGTGGATATTTGGACCACTTTGTGGCCTTCCTTCGAAACGGGTATATCTTCACATCAAACCTAGACAGAAGCATTCTCAGAATGTTTCCTGTGATGACTGCATTCAACTCACAGAGGTGAACAATCCTGCTGATGGAGCAGTTTTGAAACTCTCTTTCTTTGGATTCTGCAAGTGGATATGTGGACCTCTGTGAAGATTTCGTTGGAAACGGGTTCATCTTCACAGAAAAACTAAACAGGAGCATTCTCAGAAACTGCTTTGTGATGTTTGTGTTCCACTTCAAGAATTGAACTTTCCTCTTGACAGAGCAGCTCTGAAACCCTCTTTTTCTAGAATCTGCAAGTGGACATTTGGAGGGCTTTGAGGCCTGTGGTGGAAAAGGAAAATCTTCACATAAAAACTAGATGGAAGCATTCTCAGAAACTACTTTGTGATGATTGCATTCGACTCACAGAGTTGAACATTCCTATAGATAGAGCAGGTTGTAAACAATCTTTTTGTAGAATCTGCGATTGGAGATTTGGACTGCTTTGAGGCCTACTGTAGTAACGGATATAACTTCATCTAAAAACCAAACGGAAGCATTCACAGACAATTCTTAGTGATCATTGCATTGAACTAACAGAGCTGAACATACTTTTAGATGGCGCAGTTTCCAAACCCACTTTCTGTAGAATCTGCAAGTGGATATTTGGACTTCTCTGAGGATTTCGTTGGAAACGGGATATGCTTCCCAGAACTACACGGAAGTATTCTGAGAAACTTCTTTGTGATGGTTGCATTCAACTCACAGAGTTGAACCTTGCTTTCATAGTTCAGCTTTCAAACACTCTTTTTGTAGAATCTGCAAGTGGATATTTGGACCACTTTGTGGCCTTCCTTCGAAACGGGTATATCTTCACATCAAACCTTGACAGAAGCATTCTCAGAATGTTTCCTGTGATGACTGCATTCAACTCACAGAGGTGAACAATCCTGTTGATGGAGCAGTTTTGAAACTCCCTTTCTTTGGATTCTGCAAGTGGATATGTGGACCTCTGTGAAGATTTCGTTGGAAACGGGTTCATCTTCACAGAAAAACTAAACAGAAGCATTCTCAGAAACTACTTTGTGATGTTTGTGTTCCACTTCAAGAATTGAACTTTCCTCTTGACAGAGCAGCTCTGAAACCCTCTTATTCTAGAATCTGCAAGTGGACATTTGGAGGGCTTTGAGGCCTGTGGTGGAAAAGGAAAATCTTCACATACAAACTAGATGGAAGCATTCTCAGAAACTACTTTGTGATGATTGCATTCGACTCACAGAGTTGAACATTCCTATAGATAGAGCAGGTTGTAAACAATCTTTTTGTAGAATCTGCGATTGGAGATTTGGACTGCTTTGAGGCCTACTGTAGTAAAGGAAATAACTTCATCTAAAAACCAAACGGAAGCATTCACAGACAATTCTTAGTGATCATTGGATTGAACTAACAGAGCTGAACATTCCTTTAGATGGAGCAGTTTCCAAACACACTTTCTGTAGAATCTGCAAGTGGATATTTGGACTTCTCTGAGGATTTCGTTGGAAACGGGCTAAACTTCCCAGAACTACACGGAAGCATTCTGAGAAACTTCTTTGTGATGTTTGCATTCAACTCACAGAGCTGAACCTTGCTTTCACAGTTCAGCTTTCAAACACTCTTTTTGTAGAATCTGCAAGTGGATATTTGGACCACTTTGTGGCCTTCCTTCGAAACGGGTATATCTTCACATCAAACCTAGACAGAAGCATTCTCAGAATGTTTCCTGTGATGACTGCATTCAACTCACAGAGGTGAACAATCCTGCTGATGGAGCAGTTTTGAAACTCTCTTTCTTTGGATTCTGCAAGTGGATATGTGGACCTCTGTGAAGATTTCGTTGGAAACGGGTTCATCTTCACAGAAAAACTAAACAGAAGCATTCTCAGAAACTGCTTTGTGATGTTTGTGTTCCACTTCAGGAATTGAACTTTCCTCTTGACAGAGCAGCTCTGAAACCCTCTTATTCTAGAATCTGCAAGTGGACATTTGGAGGGCTTTGAGGCCTGTGGTGGAAAAGGAAAATCTTCACATAAAAACTAGATGGAAGCATTCTCAGAAACTACTTTGTGATGATTGCATTCGACTCACAGAGTTGAACATTCCTATAGATACAGCAGGTTGTAAACAATCTTTTTGTAGAATCTGCAATTGGAGATTTGGACTGCTTTGAGGCCTACTGTAGTAAAGGAAATAACTTCATCTAAAAACCAAACGGAAGCATTCACAGACAATTCTTAGTGATCATTGGATTGAACTAACAGAGCTGAACATTCCTTTAGATGGAGCAGTTTCCAAACCCACTTTCTGTAGAATCTGCAAGTGGATATTTGGACTTCTCTGAGGATTTCGTTGGAAACGGGATAAACTTCCCAGAACTACACGGAAGCATTCTGAGAAACTTCTTTGTGATGTTTGCATTCAACTCACAGAGTTGAACCTTGCTTTCATAGTTCAGCTTTCAAACACTCTTTTTGTGGAATCTGCAAGTGGATATTTGGACCACTTTGTGGCCTTCCTTCGAAACGGGTAAATCTTCACATCAAACCTAGACAGAAGCATTCTCAGAATGTTTCCTGTGATGACTGCATTCAACTCACAGAGGTGAACAATCCTGCTGATGGAGCAGTTTTGAAACTCTCTTTCTTTGGATTCTGCAAGTGGATATGTGGACCTCTGTGAAGATTTCGTTGGAAACGGGTTCATCTTCACAGAAAAACTAAACAGGAGCATTCTCAGAAACTGCTTTGTGATGTTTGTGTTCCACTTCAAGAATTGAACTTTACTTTTGACAGAGCAGCTCTGAAACCCTCTTTTTCTAGAATCTGGAAGTGGACATTTGGAGGGCTTTGAGGCCTGTGGTGGAAAAGGAAAATCTTCACATAAAAACTAGATGGAAGCATTCTCAGAAACTACTTTGTGATGATTGCATTCGACTCACAGAGTTGAACATTCCTATAGATAGAGCAGGTTGTAAACAATCTTTTTGTAGAATCTGCGATTCGAGATTTGGAATGCTTTGAGGCCTACTGCAGTAAAGGAAATAACTTCATCTAAAAACCAAACGGAAGCATTCACAGACAATTCTTAGTGATCATTGCATTGAACTAACAGAGCTGAACATTCCTTTAGATGGCGCAGTTTCCAAACACACTTTCTGTAGAATCTGCAAGTGGATATTTGGACTTCTCTGAGGATTTCGTTGGAAACGGGATAAACTTCCCAGAACTACACGGAAGCATTCTGAGAAACTTCTTTGTGATGTTTGCATTCAACTCACAGAGTTGAACCTTGCTTTCATAGTTCAGCTTTCAAACACTCTTTTTGTAGAATCTGCAAGTGGATATTTGGACCACTTTGTGGCCTTCCTTCGAAACGGGTATATCTTCACATCAAACCTAGACAGAAGCATTCTCAGAATGTTTCCTGTGATGACTGCATTCAACTCACAGAGGTGAACAATCCTGTTGATGGAGCAGTTTTGAATCTCTCTTTCTTTGGATTCTGCAAGTGGATATGTGGACCTCTGTGAAGATTTCGTTGGAAACGGGTTCATTTTCACAGAAAAACTAAACAGAAGCATTCTCAGAAACTGCTTTGTGATGTTTGTGTTCCACTAAAAGAATTGAACTTTCCTCTTGACAGAGCAGCTCTGAAACCCTCTTTTTCTAGAATCTGCAAGTGGACATTTGGAGGGCTTTGAGGCCTGTGGTGGAAAAGGAAAATCTTCACATAAAAACTTTATGGAAGCATTCTCAGAAACTACTTTGTGATGATTGCATTCGACTCACAGAGTTGAACATTCCTATAGATAGAGCAGGTTGTAAACAATCTTTTTGTAGAATCTGCGATTGGAGATTTGGACTGCTTTGAGGCCTACTGTAGTGAAGGAAATAACTTCATCTAAAAACCAAACGGAAAGCATTCACAGCACAATTCTTAGTGATCATTGCATTGAACTAACAGAGCTGAACATTCCTTTAGATGGCGCAGTTTCCAAACACACTTTCTGTAGAATCTGAAAGTGGATATTTGGACCTCTCTGAGGATTTCGTTGGAAACGGGATAAACTTCCCAGAACTACACGGAAGCATTGTGAGAAACTTCTTTGTGATGTTTGCATTCAACTCACAGAGTTGAACCTTGCTTTCATAGTTCAGCTTTCAAACACTCTTTTTGTAGAATCTGCAAGTGGATATTTGGACCACTTTGTGGCCTTCCTTCGAAACGGGTATATCTTCACATCAAACCTAGACAGAAGCATTCTCAGAATGTTTCCTGTGATGACTGCATTCAACTCACAGAGGTGAACAATCCTGCTGATGGAGCAGTTTTGAAACTCTCTTTCTTTGGATTCTGCAAGTGGATATGTGGACCTCTGTGAAGATTTCGTTGGAAACGGGTTCATCTTCACAGAAAAACTAAACAGAAGCATTCTCAGAAACTGCTTTGTGATGTTTGTGTTCCACTTCAGGAATTGAACTTTCCTCTTGACAGAGCAGCTCTGAAACCCTCTTATTCTAGAATCTGCAAGTGGACATTTGGAGGGTTTTGAGGCCTGTGGTGGAAAAGGAAAATCTTCACATAAAAACTAGATGGAAGCATTCTCAGAAACTACTTTGTGATGATTGCATTCGACTCACAGAGTTGAACATTCCTATAGATAGAGCAGGTTGTAAACAATCTTTTTGTAGAATCTTCGATTGGAGATTTGGACTGCTTTGAGGCCTACTGTAGTAAAGGAAATAACTTCACCTAAAAACCAAACGGAAGCATTCACAGACAATTCTTAGTGATCATTGGATTGAACTAACAGAGCTGAACATTCCTTTAGATGGAGCAGTTTCCAAACCCACTTTATGTAGAATCTGCAAGTGGATATTTGGACTTCTCTGAGGATTTCGTTGGAAACGGGATATGATTCCCAGAACTACAGGGAAGCATTCTGAGAAACTTCTTTGTGATGTTTGCATTCAACTCACAGAGTTGAACCTTGCTTTCATAGTTCAGCTTTCAAACACTCTTTTTGTAGAATCTGCAAGTGGATATTTGGACCACTTTGTGGCCTTCCTTCGAAACGGGTATATCTTCACATCAAACCTAGACAGAAGCATTCTCAGAATGTTTCCTGTGATGACTGCATTCAACTCACAGAGGTGAACAATCCTGTTGATGGAGCCGTTTTGAAACTCCCTTTCTTTTGATTCTGCAAGTGGATATGTGGAACACTGTGAAGATTTCGTTGGAAACGGGTTCATCTTCACAGAAAAATTAACAGGAGCATTCTCAGAAACTGCTTTGTGATGTTTGTGTTCCACTTGAAGAATTGAACTTTCCTTTTGACAGAGCAGCTCTGAAACCCTCTTTTTCTAGAATCTGCAAGTGGACATTTGGAGGGCTTTGAGGCCTGTGGTGGAAAAGGAAAATCTTCCCATAAAAACTAGCTGGAAGCATTCTCAGAAACTACTTTGTGATGATTGCATTCGACTCACAGAGTTGAACATTCCTATAGATAGAGCAGGTTGCAAACAATCTTTTTGTAGAATCTGCGATTGGAGATTTGGACTGCTTGGAGGCCTACTGTAGTAAAGGAAATAACTTCATCTAAAAACCAAACGGAAGCATTCACAGACAATTCTTAGTGATCATTGGATTGAACTAACAGAGCTGAACATTCCTTTAGATGGCGCAGTTTCCAAACACACTTTCTGTAGAATCTGCAAGTGGATATTTGGACTTCTCTGAGGATTTCGTTGGAAACGGGATAAACTTCCCAGAACTACACGGAAGCATGCTGAGAAACTTCTTTGTGATGTTTGCATTCAACTCACAGAGTTGAACCTTGCTTTCTTAGTTCAGCTTTCAAACACTCTTTTTGTAGAATCTGCAAGTGGATATTTGGACCACTTTGTGGCCTTCCTTCGAAACGGGTATATCTTCACATCAAACCTAGACAGAAGCATTCTCAGAATGTTTCCTGTGATGACTGCATTCAACTCACAGAGGTGAACAATCCTGTTGATGGAGCAGTTTTGAATCTCTCTTTCTTTGGATTCTGCAAGTGGATATGTGGACCTCTGGGAAGGTTTCGTTGGAAACGGGTTCATCTTCACAGAAAAACTAAACAGGAGCATTCTCAGAAACTGCTTTGTGATGTTTGTGTTCCACTTCAGGAATTGAACTTTCCTCTTGACAGAGCAGCTCTGAAACCCTCTTATTCTAGAATCTGCAAGTGGACATTTGGAGGGCTTTGAGGCCTGTGGTGGAAAAGGAAAATCTTCACATAAAAACTAGATGGAAGCATTCTCAGAAACTACTTTGTGAAGATTGTATTCGACTCACAGAGTTGAACATTCCTATAGATAGAGCAGGTTGAAAACAATCTTTTTGTGGAATCTGCGATTGGAGATTTGGACTGCTTTGAGGCCTACTGTAGTAAAGGAAATAACTTCATCTAAAAACCAAACGGAAGCATTCACAGACAATTGTTAGTGATCATTGGATTGAACTAACAGAGCTGAACATTCCTTTAGATGGCGCAGTTTCCAAACACACTTTCTGTAGAATCTGCAAGTGGATATTTGGACCTCTCTGAGGATTTCGTTGGAAACGGGATAAACTTCCCAGAACTACACGGAAGCATTCTGAGAAACTTCTTTGTGATGTTTGCATTCAACTCACAGAGTTGAACCTTGCTTTCATAGTTCAGCTTTCAAACACTCTTTTTGTAGAATCTGCAAGTGGATATTTGGACCACTTTGTGGCCTTCCTTCGAAACGGGTATATCTTCACATCAAACCTAGACAGAAGCATTCTCAGAATGTTTCCTGTGATGACTGCATTCAACTCACAGAGGTGAACAATCCTGCTGATGGAGCAGTTTTGAAACTCTCTTTCTTTGGATTCTGCAAGTGGATATGTGGACCTCTGTGAAGATTTCGTTGGAAACGGGTTCATCTTCACAGAAAAACTAAACAGAAACATTCTCAGAAACTGCTTTGTGATGTTTGTGTTCCACTTCAAGAATTGAACTTTCCTCTTGACAGAGCAGCTCTGAAACCCTCTTTTTCTAGAATCTGCAAGTGGACATTTGGAGGGCTTTGAGGCCTGTGGTGGAAAAGGAAAATCTTCACATAAAAACTAGATGGAAGCATTCTCAGAAACTACTTTGTGATGTTTGCATTCGACTCACAGAGTTGAACATTCCTATAGATAGAGCAGGTTGAAAACAATCTTTTTGTAGAATCTGCGATTGGAGATTTGGACTGCTTTGAGGCCTACTGTAGTAAAGGAAATAACTTCATCTAAAAACCAAACGGGAAGCAATCACAGACAATTCTTAGTGATCATTGCATTGAACTAACAGAGCTGAACATTCCTTTAGATGGCGCAGTTTCCAAACACACTTTCTGTAGAATCTGCAAGTGGATATTTGGACCTCTCTGAGGATTTCGTCGGAAACGGGATAAATTTCCCAGAACTACACGGAAGCATTCTGAGAAACTTCTTTGTGATGTTTGCATTCAACTCACAGAGTTGAACCTTGCTTTCATAGTTCAGCTTTCAAACACTCTTTTTGTAGAATCTGCAAGTGGATATTTGGACCACTTTGTGGCCTTCCTTCGAAACGGGTATATCTTCACATCAAACCTAGACAGAAGCATTCTCAGAATGTTTCCTGTGATGACTGCATTCAACTCACAGAGGTGAACAATCCTGCTGTTGGAGCAGTTTTGAAACTCTCTTTCTTTGGATTCTGCAAGTGGATATGTGGACCTCTGTGAAGATTTCATTGGAAACGGGTTCATCTTCACAGAAAAACTAAACAGGAGCATTCTCAGAAACTGCTTTGTGATGTTTGTGTTGCACTTCAGTTATTGAACTTTCCTCTTGACAGAGCAGCTCTGAAATCCTCTTATTCTAGAATCTGCAAGTGGACATTTGGAGGGCTTTGAGGCCTGTGGTGGAAAAGGAAAATCTTCACATAAAAACTAGATGGAAGCATTCTCAGAAACTACTTTGTGATGATTGCATTCGACTCACAGAGTTGAACATTCCTATAGATAGAGCAGGTTGTAAACAATCTTTTTGTAGAATCTGCGATTGGAGATTTGGACTGCTTTGAGGCCTACTGTAGTAAAGGAAATAACTTCATCTAAAAACCAAACGGAAGCATTCACAGACAATTCTTAGTGATCATTGGATTGAACTAACAGAGCTGAACATTCCTTTAGATGGAGCAGTTTCCAAACACACTTTCTGTAGAATCTGCAAGTGGATATTTGGACTTCTCTGAGGATTTCGTTGGAAACGGGATAAACTTCCCAGAACTACACGGAAGCATTCTGAGAAACTTCTTTGTGATGTTTGCATTCAACTCACAGAGTTGAACCTTGCTTTCATAGTTCAGCTTTCAAACACTCTTTTTGTAGAATCTGCAAGTGGATATTTGGACCACTTTGTGGCCTTCCTTCGAAACGGGTATATCTTCACATCAAACCTAGACAGAAGCATTCTCAGAATGTTTCCTGTGATGACTGCATTCAACTCACAGAGGTGAACAATCCTGCTGATGGAGCAGTTTTGAAACTCCCTTTCTTTGGATTCTGCAAGTGGATATGTGGACCTCTGTGAAGATTTCGTTGGAAACGGGTTCATCTTCACAGAAAAACTAAACAGAAGCATTCTCAGAAACTGCTTTGTGATGTTTGTGTTCCACTTCAGGAAATGAACTTTCCTCTTGACAGAGCAGCTCTGAAACCCTCTTTTTCTAGAATCTGCAAGTGGACATTTGGAGGGCTTTGAGGCCTGTGGTGGAAAAGGAAAATCTTCACATAAAAACTAGATGGAAGCATTCTCAGAAACTACTTTGTGATGATTGCATTCGACTCACAGAGTTGAACATTCCTAGAGATAGAGCAGGTTGTAAACAATCTTTTTGTAGAATCTGCGATTGGAGATTTGGACTGCTTTGAGGCCTACTGTAGTAAAGGAAATAACTTCATCTAAAAACCAAACGGAAGCATTCACAGACAATTCTTAGTGATCATTGCATTGAACTAACAGAGCTGAACATTCCTTTAGATGGCGCAGTTTCCAAACACACTTTCTGTAGAATCTGCAAGTGGATATTTGGACCTCTCTGAGGATTTCGTTGGAAACGGGATAAACTTCCCAGAACTACACGGAAGCATTGTGAGAAACTTCTTTGTGATGTTTGCATTCAACTCACAGAGTTGAACCTTGCTTTCATAGTTCAGCTTTCAAACACTCTTTTTGTAGAATCTGCAAGTGGATATTTGGACCACTTTGTGGCCTTCCTTCGAAACGGGTATATCTTCACATCAAACCTAGACAGAAGCATTCTCAGAATGTTTCCTGTGATGACTGCATTCAACTCACAGAGGTGAACAATCCTGCTGATGGAGCAGTTTTGAAACTCTCTTTCTTTGGATTCTGCAAGTGGATATGTGGACCTCTGTGAAGATTTCGTTGGAAACGGGTTCATCTTCACAGAAAAACTAAACAGGATCATTCTCAGAAACTGCTTTGTGATGTTTGTGTTCCACTTCAAGAATTGAACTTTCCTCTTGACAGAGCAGCTCTGAAACCCTCTTTTTCTAGAATCTGCAAGTGGACATTTGGAGGGCTTTGAGGCCTGTGGTGGAAAAGGAAAATCTTCACATAAAAACTAGATGGAAGCATTCTCAGAAACTACTTTGTGATGATTGCATTCGACTCACAGAGTTGAACATTCCTGTAGATAGAGCAGGTTGTAAACAATCTTTTTGTAGAATCTGCGATTGGAGATTTGTACTGCTTTGAGGCCTACTGTAGTAAAGGAAATAACTTCATCTAAAAACCAAACAGAAGCATTCACAGACAATTCTTAGTGATCATTGGATTGAACTAACAGAGCTGAACATTCCTTTAGATGGAGCAGTTTCCAAACCCACTTTCTGTAGAATCTGCAAGTGGATATTTGGACTTCTCTGAGAATTTCGTTGGAAACGGGATAAACTTCCCAGAACTACACGGAAGCATTGTGAGAAACTTCTTTGTGATGTTTGCATTCAACTCACAGAGTTGAACCTTGCTTTCATAGTTCAGCTTTCAAACACTCTTTTTGTAGAATCTGCAAGTGGATATTTGGACCACTTTGTGGCCTTCCTTCGAAACGGGTATATCTTCACATCAAACCTAGACAGAAGCATTCTCAGAATGTTTCCTGTGATGACTGCATTCAACTCACAGAGGTGAACAATCCTGCTGATGGAGCAGTTTTGAAACTCTCTTTCTTTGGATTCTGCAAGTGGATATGTGGACCTCTGTGAAGATTTCGTTGGAAACGGGTTCATCTTCACAGAAAAACTAAACAGAAGCATTCTCAGAAACTGCTTTGTGATGTTTGTGTTCCACTTCAAGAATTGAACTTTCCTCTTGACAGAGCAGCTCTGAAACCCTCTTTTTCTAGAATCTGCAAGTGGACATTTGGAGGGCTTTGAGGCCTGTGGTGGAAAAGGAAAATCTTCACATAAAAACTAGATGGAAGCATTCTCAGAAACTACTTTGTGATGATGGCATTCGACTCACAGAGTTGAACATTCCTATAGATAGAGCAGGTTGTAAACAATCTTTTTGTAGAATCTGCGATTGGAGATTTGGACTGCTTTGAGGCCTACTGTAGTAAAGGAAATAACTTCATCTAAAAACCAAACGGAAGCATTCACAGACAATTCTTAGTGATCATTGGATTGAACTAACAGAGCTGAACATTCCTTTAGATGGAGCAGTTTCCAAACACACTTTCTGTAGAATCTGCAAGTGGATATTGGGACTTCTCTGAGGATTTCGTTGGAAACGGGATAAACTTCCCAGAACTACACGGAAGCATTCTGAGAAACGTCTTTGTGATGTTTGCATTCAACTCACAGAGTTGAACCTTGCTTTCATAGTTCAGCTTTCAAACACTCTTTTTGTAGAATCTGCAAGTGGATATTTGGACCACTTTGTGGCCTTCCTTCGAAACGGGTATATCTTCACATCAAACCTAGACAGAAGCATTCTCAGAATGTTTCCTGTGATGAATGCATTCAACTCACAGAGGCGAACAATCCTGTTGATGGAGCAGTTTTGAAACTCTCTTTCTTTGGATTCTGCAAGTGGATATGTGGACCTCTGTGAAGATTTCGTTGGAAACGGGTTCATCTTCACAGAAAAACTAAACAGAAGCATTCTCAGAAACTGCTTTGTGATGTTTGTGTTCCACTTCAGGAATTGAACTTTCCTCTTGACAGAGCAGCTCTGAAACCCTCCTTTTCTAGAATCTGCACGTGGACATTTGGAGGGCTTTGAGGCCTGTGGTGGAAAAGGAAAATCTTCACATAAAAACTAGATGGAGAGCATTCTCAGAAACTACTTTGTGATGATTGCATTCGACTCACAGAGTTGAACATTCCTATAGATAGAG
Source organism: Homo sapiens (assembly GCF_000001405.40). Lineage (NCBI taxonomy): Eukaryota > Metazoa > Chordata > Mammalia > Primates > Hominidae > Homo > Homo sapiens. Next base: position 52,224,161 of record NC_000011.10, read on the forward strand.
CAGGTTGTAAACAATCTTTTTGTAGAATCTGCGATTGGAGATTTGGACTGCTTTGAAGCCTACTGTAGTAAAGGAAATAACTTCATCTAAAAACCAAACGGAAGCATTCACAGACAATTCTTAGTGATCATTGCATTGAACTAACAGAGCTGAACATTCCTTTAGATGGCGCAGTTTCCAAACACACTTTCTGTAGAATCTGCAAGTGGATATTTGGACTTCTCTGAGGATTTCGTTGGAAACGGGATAAACTTCCCAGAACTACACGGAAGCATTGTGAGAAACTTCTTTGTGATGTTTGCATTCAACTCACAGAGTTGAACCTTGCTTTCATAGTTCAGCTTTCAAACACTCTTTTTGTAGAATCTGCAAGTGGATATTTGGACCACTTTGTGGCCTTCCTTCGAAACGGGTATATCTTCACATCAAACCTAGACAGAAGCATTCTCAGAATGTTTCCTGTGATGACTGCATTCAACTCACAGAGGTGAACAATCCTGCTGATGGAGCACTTTTGAAACTCTCTTTCTTTGGATTCTGCAATTGGATATGTGGACCTCTGTGAAGATTTTGTTGGAAACGGGTTCATCTTCACAGAAAAACTAAACAGGAGCATTCTCAGAAACTGCTTTGTGATGTTTGTGTTCCACTTCAGGAATTGAACTTTCCTCTTGACAGAGCAGCTCTGAAACCCTCTTTTTCTAGAATCTGCAAGTGGACATTTGGAGGGCTTTGAGGCCTGTGGTGGAAAAGGAAAATCTTCACATAAAAACTAGATGGAAGCATTCTCAGAAACTACTTTGTGATGATTGCATTCGACTCACAGAGTTGAACATTCCTATAGATAGAGCAGGTTGTAAACAATCTTTTTGTATAATCTGCGATTGGAGATTTGGAATGCTTTGAGGCCTACTGTAGTAAAGGAAATAACTTCATCTAAAAACCAAACGGAAGCATTCACAGAAAATTCATAGTGATCATTGGATTGAACTAACAGAGCTGAACATTCCTTTAGATGGAGCAGTTTCCAAACCCACTTTCTGTAGAATCTGCAAGTGGATATTTGGACTTCTCTGAGGATTTCGTTGGAAAAGGGATATGCTTCCCAGAAATACAGGGAAGCATTGTGAGAAACTTCTTTGTGATGTTTGCATTCAACTCACAGAGTTGAACCTTGCTTTCATAGTTCAGCTTTCAAACACTCTTTTTGTAGAATCTGCAAGTGGATATTTGGACCACTTTGTGGCCTTCCTTCGAAACGGGTATATCTTCACATCAAACCTAGACAGAAGCATTCTCAGAATGTTTCCTGTGATGACTGCATTCAACTCACAGAGGTGAACAATCCTGTTGATGGAGCACTTTTGAAACTCTCTTTCTTTGGATTCTGCAAGTTGATATGTGGACCTCTGTGAAGATTTCGTTGGAAACGGGTTCATCTTCACAGAAAAACTAAACAGAAGCATTCTCAGAAACTGCTTTGTGATGTTTGTGTTCGACTTCAGGAATTGAACTTTCCTCTTGACAGAGCAGCTCTGAAACCCTCTTATTCTAGAATCTGCAAGTGGACATTTGGAGGGCTTTGAGGCCTGTGGTGGAAAAGGAAAATCTTCACATAAAAACTAGATGGAAGCATTCTCAGAAACTACTTTGTGATGATTGCATTCGACTCACAGAGTTGAACATTCCTATACATAGAGCAGGTTGTAAACAATCTTTTTGTAGAATCTGCGATTGGAGATTTGGACTGCTTTGAGGCCTACTGTAGTAAAGGAAATAACTTCATCTAAAAACCAAACGGAAGCATTCACAGACAATTCTTAGTGATCATTGCATTGAACTAACAGAGCTGAACATTGCTTTAGATGGCGCAGTTTCCAAACACACTTTCTGTAGAATCTGCAAGTGGATATTTGGACCTCTCTGAGGATTTCGTTGGAAACGGGATAAACTTCCCAGAACTACACGGAAGCATTGTGAGAAACTTCTCTGTGATGTTTGCATTCAACTCACAGAATTGAACCTTGCTTTCATAGTTCAGCTTTCAAACACTCTTTTTGTGGAATCTGCAAGTGGATATTTGGACCACTTTGTGGCCTTCCTTCGAAACGGGTATATCTTCACATCAAACCTAGACAGAAGCATTCTCAGAATGTTTCCTGTGATGACTGCATTCAACTCACGGACGTGAACAATCCTGCTGATGGAGGAGTTTTGAAACTCTCTTTCTTTGGATTCTGCAAGTGGATATGTGGACCTCTGTGAAGATTTCGTTGGAAACGGGTTCATCTTCACAGAAAAACTAAACAGGAGCATTCTCAGAAACTGCTTTGTGATGTTTGTGTTCCACTTCAAGAATTGAACTTTCCTCTTGACAGAGCAGCTCTGAAACCCTCTTTTTCTAGAATCTGCAAGTGGACATTTGGAGGGCTTTGAGGCCTGTGGTGGAAAAGGAAAATCTTCACATAAAAACTAGATGGAAGCATTCTCAGAAACTACTTTGTGATGATTGCATTCGTCTCACAGAGTTGAACATTCCTATAGACAGAGCAGGTTGTAAACAATCTTTTTGTAGAATCTGCGATTGGAGATTTGGACTGCTTTGAGGCCTACTGTAGTAAAGGAAATAACTTCATCTAAAAAACAAACGGAAGCATTCACAGACAATTCTTAGTGATCATTGCATTGAACTAACAGAGCTGAACATTCCTTTAGATGGCGCAGTTTCCAAACACACTTTCTGTAGAATCTGCAAGTGGATATTTGGACCTCTCTGAGGATTTCGTTGGAAACGGGATAAACTTCCCAGAACTACACGGAAGCATTGTGAGAAACTTCTTTGTGATGTTTGCATTCAACTCACAGAGTTGAACCTTGCTTTCATAGTTCAGCTTTCAAACACTCTTTTTGTAGAATCTGCAAGTGGATATTTGGACCACTTTGTGGCCTTCCTTCGAAACGGGTATATCTTCACATCAAACCTAGACAGAAGCATTCTCAGAATGTTTCCTGTGATGACTGCATTCAACTCACAGAGGTGAACAATCCTGCTGATGGAGCAGTTTTGAAACTCTCTTTCTTTGGATTCTGCAAGTGGATATGTGGACCTCTGTGAAGATTTCGTTGGAAACGGGTTCATCTTCACAGAAAAACTAAACAGAAGCATTCTCAGAAACTGCTTTGTGATGTTTGTGTTCCACTTCAAGAATTGAACTTTCCTCTTGACAGAGCAGCTCTGAAACCCTCTTATTCTAGAATCTGCAAGTGGACATTTGGAGGGCTTTGAGGCCTGTGGTGGAAAAGGAAAATCTTCACATAAAAACTAGATGGAAGCATTCTCAGAAACTACTTTGTGATGATTGCATTCGACTCACAGAGTTGAACATTCCTATAGATAGAGCAGGTTGTAAACAATCTTTTTGTAGAATCTGCGATTGGAGATTTGGACTGCTTTGAGGCCTACTGTAGTAAAGGAAATAACTTCATCTAAAAACCAAACGGAAGCATTCACAGACAATTCTTAGTGATCATTGGATTGAACTAACAGAGCTGAACATTCCTTTAGATGGAGCAGTTTCCAAACACACTTTCTGTAGAATCTGCAAGTGGATATTTGGACTTCTCTGAGGATTTCGTTGGAAACGGGATAAACTTCCCAGAACTACACGGAAGCATTGTGAGAAACTTCTCTGTGATGTTTGCATTCAACTCACAGAGTTGAACCTTGCTTTCATAGTTCAGCTTTCAAACACTCTTTTTGTGGAATCTGCAAGTGGATATTTGGACCACTTTGTGGCCTTCCTTCGAAACGGGTGTATCTTCACATCAAACCTAGACAGAAGCATTCTCAGAATGTTTCCTGTGATGACTGCATTCAACTCACAGAGGTGAACAATCCTGTTGATGGAGCACTTTTGAAACTCTCTTTCTTTGGATTCTGCAAGTTGATATGTGGACCTCTGTGAAGATTTCGTTGGAAACGGGTTCATCTTCACAGAAAAACTAAACAGAAGCATTCTCAGAAACTACTTTGTGATGTTTGTGTTCCACTTCAAGAATTGAACTTTCCTCTTGACAGAGCAGCTCTGAAACCCTCTTTTTCTAGAATCTGCAAGTGGACATTTGGAGGGCTTTGAGGCCTGTGGTGGAAAAGGAAAATCTTCACATAAAAACTAGATGGAAGCATTCTCAGAAACTACTTTGTGATGATTGCATTCGACTCACAGAGTTGAACATTCCTATAGATAGAGCAGGTTGTAAACAATCTTTTTGTAGAATCTGCGATTGGAGATTTGGACTGCTTTGAGGCCTACTGTAGTAAAGGAAATAACTTCATCTAAAAACCAAACGGAAGCATTCACAGACAATTCTTAGTGATCATTGCATTGAACTAACAGAGCTGAACATTCCTTTAGATGGCGCAGTTTCCAAACACACTTTCTGTAGAATCTGCAAGTGGATATTTGGACCTCCCTGAGGATTTCGTTGGAAACGGGATAAAATTCCCAGAACTACACGGAAGCATTCTGAGAAACTTCTTTGTGATGTTTGCATTCAACTCACAGAGTTGAACCCTGCTTTCATAGTTCAGCTTTCAAACACTCTTTTTGTAGAATCTGCAAGTGGATATTTGGACCACTTTGTGGCCTTCCTTCGAAACGGGTATATCTTCACATCAAACCTAGACAGAAGCATTCTCAGAATGTTTCCTGTGATGACTGCATTCAACTCACAGAGGTGAACAATCCTGCTGATGGAGCAGTTTTGAAACTCTCTTTCTTTGGATTCTGCAAGTGGATATGTGGACCTCTGTGAAGATTTCGTTGGAAACGGGTTCATCTTCACAGAAAAACTAAACAGAAGCATTCTCAGAAACTGCTTTGTGATGTTTGTGTTCCACTTCAAGAATTGAACTTTCCTCTTGACAGAGCAGCTCTGAAACCCTCTTATTCTAGAATCTGCAAGTGGACATTTGGAGGGCTTTGAGGCCTGTGGTGGAAAAGGAAAATCTTCACATAAAAACTAGATGGAAGCATTCTCAGAAACTACTTTGTGATGATTGCATTCGACTCACAGAGTTGAACATTCCTATAGATAGAGCAGGTTGTAAACAATCTTTTTGTAGAATCTGCGATTGGAGATTTGGACTGCTTTGAGGCCTACTGTAGTAAAGGAAATAACTTCATCTAAAAACCAAACGGAAGCATTCACAGACAATTCTTAGTGATCATTGGATTGAACTAACAGAGCTGAACATTCCTTTAGATGGAGCAGTTTCCAAACACACTTTCTGTAGAATCTGCAAGTGGATATTTGGACCTCTCTGAGGATTTCGTTGGAAACGGGATAAACTTCCCAGAACTACACGGAAGCATTGTGAGAAAATTCTTTGTGAAGTTTGCATTCAACTCACAGAGTTGAACCTTGGTTTCATAGTTCAGCTTTCAAACACTCTTTTTGTAGAATCTGCAAGTGGATATTTGGACCACTTTGTGGTCTTCCTTCGAAACGGGTATATCTTCACATCAAACCTAGACAGAAGCATTCTCAGAATGTTTCCTGTGATGACTGCATTCAACTCACAGAGGTGAACAATCCTGCTGATGGAGCAGTTTTGAAACTCTCTTTCTTTGGATTCTACAAGTGGATATGTGGACCTCTGTGAAGATTTCGTTGGAAACGGGTTCATCTTCACAGAAAAACTAAACAGGAGCATTCTCAGAAACTGCTTTGTGATGTTTGTGTTCCACTTCAAGAATTGAACTTTCCTCTTGACAGAGCAGCTCTGAAACCCTCTTTTTCTAGAATCTGCAAGTGGACATTTGGAGGGCTTTGAGGCCTGTGGTGGAAAAGGAAAATCTTCACATAAAAACTAGATGGAAGCATTCTCAGAAACTCCTTTGTGATGATTGCATTCGACTCACAGAGTTGAACATTCCTATAGATAGAGCAGGTTGTAAACAATCTTTTTGTAGAATCTGCGATTGGATATTTGGACTGCTTTGAGGCCTACTGTAGTAAAGGAAATAACTTCATCTAAAAACCAAACGGAAGCATTCACAGACAGTTCTTAGTGATCATTGGATAGAACTAACAGAGCTGAACATTCCTTTAGATGGAGCAGTTTCCAAACACACTTTCTGTAGAATCTGCAAGTGGATATTTGGACCTCTCTGAGGATTTCGTTGGAAACGGGATAAACTTCCCAGAACTACACGAAAGTATTCTGAGAAACTTCTTTGTGATGTTTGCATTCAACTCACAGTGTTGAACCTTGCTTTCATAGTTCAGCTTTCAAACACTCTTTTTGTAGAATCTGCAAGTGGATATTTGGACCACTTTGTGGCCTTCCTTCGAAACGGGTATATCTTCACATCAAACCTAGACAGAAGCATTCTCAGAATGTTTCCTGTGATGACTGCATTCAACTCACAGAGGTGAACAATCCTGCTGATGGAGCAGTTTTGAAACTCTCTTTCTTTGGATTCTGCAAGTGGATATGTGGACCTCTGTGAAGATTTCGTTGGAAACGGGTTTATCTTCACAGAAAAACTAAACAGAAGCATTCTCAGAAACTGCTTTGTGATGTTTGTGTTCCACTTCAAGAATTGAACTTTCCTCTTGACAAAGCAGCTCTGAAACCCTCTTTTTCTAGAATCTGCAAGTGGACATTTGGAGGGCTTTGAGGCCTGTGGTGGAAAAGGAAAATCTTCACATAAAAACTAGATGGAAGCATTCTCAGAAACTACTTTGTGATGATTGCATTCGACTCACAGAGTTGAACATTCCTATAGATAGAGCAGGTTGAAAACAATCTTTTTGTAGAATCTGCGATTGGAGATTTGGACTGCTTTGAGGCCTACTGTAGTAAAGGAAATAACTTCATCTAAAAACCAAACGGAAGCATTCAGAGAAAATTCTTAGTGATCATTGGTTTGAACTAACAGAGCTGAACATTCCTTTAGATGGAGGAGTTTCCAAACACTCTTTCTGTAGAATCTGCAAGTGGATATTTGGACCTCTCTGAGGATTTCGTTGGAAACAGGATAAACTTCCCAGAACTACACGGAAGTATTCTGAGAAACTTCTTTGTGATGTTTGCATTCAACTCACAGAGTTGAACCTTGCTTTCATAGTTCAGCTTTCAAACACTCTTTTTGTAGAATCTGCAAGTGGATATTTGGACCACTTTGTGGCCTTCCTTCGAAACGGGTATATCTTCACATCAAACCTAGACAGAAGCATTCTCAGAATGTTTCCTGTGATGACTGCATTCAACTCACAGAGGTGAACAATCCTGCTGATGGAGCAGTTTTGAAACTCTCTTTCTTTGGATTCTGCAAGTGGATATGTGGACCTCTGTGAAGATTTCGTTGGAAACGGGTTCATCTTCACAGAAAAACTAAACAGAAGCATTCTCAGAAACTGCTTTGTGATGTTTGTGTTCCACTTCAGGAATTGAACTTTCCTCTTGACAGAGCAGCTCTGAAACCCTCTTATTCTAGAATCTGCAAGTGGACATTTGGAGGGCTTTGAGGCCTGTGGTGGAAAAGGAAAATCTTCACATAAAAACTAGATGGAAGCATTCTCAGAAACTACTTTGTGATGATTGCATTCGACTCACAGAGTTGAACATTCCTATAGATAGAGCAGGTTGTAAACAATCTTTTTGTAGAATCTGCGATTGGAGATTTGGACTGCTTTGAGGCCTACTGTAGTAAAGGAAATAACTTCATCTAAAAACCAAACGGAAGCATTCACAGACAATCCTTAGTGATCATTGCATTGAACTAACAGAGCTGAACATTCCTTTAGATGGCGCAGTTTCCAAACACACTTTCTGTAGAATCTGCAAGTGGATATTTGGACCTCTCTGAGGATTTCGTTGGAAACGGGATAAACTTCCCAGAACTACACGGAAGCATTCTGAGAAACTTCTTTGTGATGTTTGCATTCAACTCACAGAGTTGAACCTTGCTTTCATAGTTCAGCTTTCAAACACTCTTTTTGTAGAATCTGCAAGTGGATATTTGGACCACTTTGTGGCCTTCCTTCGAAACGGGTATATCTTCACATCAAACCTAGACAGAAGCATTCTCAGAATGTTTCCTGTGATGACTGCATTCAACTCACAGAGGTGAACAATCCTGTTGATGGAGCAGTTTTGAAACTCTCTTTCTTTGGATTCTGCAAGTGGATATGTGGACCTCTGTGAAGATTTCGTTGGAAACGGGTTCATCTTCACAGAAAAACTAAACAGAAGCATTCTCAGAAACTGCTTTGTGATGTTTGTGTTCCACTTCAGGAATTGAACTTTCCTCTTGACAGAACAGCTCTGAAACCCTCTTATTCTAGAATCTGCAAGTGGACATTTGGAGGGCTTTGAGGCCTGTGGTGGAAAAGGAAAATCTTCACATAAAAACTAGATGGAAGCATTCTCAGAAACTACTTTGTGATGATTGCATTCGACTCACAGGGTTGAACATTCCTATAGATAGAGCAGGTTGTAAACAATCTTTTTGTAGAATCTGCGATTGGAGATTTGGACTGCTTTGAGGCCTACTGTAGTAAAGGAAATAATTTCATCTAAAAACCAAACGGAAGCATTCACAGACAATTCTTAGTGATCATTGGATTGAACTAACAGAGCTGAACATTCCTTTAGATGGCGCAGTTTCCAAACACACTTTCTGTAGAATCTGCAAGTGGATATTTGGACCTCTCTGAGGATATCGTTGGAAAAGGGATAAACTTCCCAAAACTACACGGAAGCATTCTGAGAAAATTCTTTGTGATGTTTGCATTCAACTCACAGAGTTGAACCTTGCTTTCATAGTTCAGCTTTCAAACACTCTTTTTGTAGAATCTGCAAGTGGATATTTGGACCACTTTGTGGCCTTCCTTCGAAACGGGTATATCTTCACATCAAACCTAGACAGAAGCATTCTCAGAATGTTTCCTGTGATGACTGCATTCAACTCACAGAGGTGAACAATCCTGCTGATGGAGCAGTTTTGAAACTCGCTTTCTTTGGATTCTGCAAGTGGATATGTGGACCTCTGTGAAGATTTCGTTGGAAACGGGTTCATCTTCACAGAAAAACTAAACAGAAGCATTCTCAGAAACTGCTTTGTGATGTTTGTGTTCCACTTCAAGAATTGAACTTTCCTCTTGACAGAGCAGCTCTGAAACCCTCTTTTTCTAGAATCTGCAAGTGGACATTTGGAGGGCTTTGAGGCCTGTGGTGGAAAAGGAAAATCTTCACATAAAAACTAGATGGAAGCATTCTCAGAAACTACTTTGTGATGATTGCATTCGACTCACAGAGTTGAACATTCCTATAGATAGAGCAGGTTGTAAACAATGTTTTTGTAGAATCTGCGATTGGAGATTTGGACTGCTTTGAGGCCTACTGTAGTAAAGGAAATAACTTCATCTAAAAACCAAACGGAAGCATTCACAGACAATTCTTAGTGATCATTGCATTGAACTAACAGAGCTGAACATTCCTTTAGATGGCGCAGTTTCCAAACACACTTTCTGTAGAATCTGCAAGTGGATATTTGGACTTCTCTGAGGATTTCGTTGGAAACGGGATAAACTTCCCAGAACTACACGGAAGCATTGTGAGAAACTTCTTTGTGATGTTTGCATTCAACTCACAGAGTTGAACCTTGCTTTCATAGTTCAGCTTTCAAACACTCTTTTTGTAGAATCTGCAAGTGGATATTTGGACCACTTTGTGGCCTTCCTTCGAAACGGGTATATCTTCACATCAAACCTAGACAGAAGCATTCTCAGAATGTTTCCTGTGATGACTGCATTCAACTCACAGAGGTGAACAATCCTGCTGATGGAGCAGTTTTGAAACTCTCTTTCTTTGGATTCTGCAAGTCGATATGTGGACCTCTGTGAAGATTTCGTTGGAAACGGGTTCATCTTCACAGGAAAACTAAACAGGAGCATTCTCAGAAACTGCTTTGTGATGTTTTTGTTCCACATCAAGAATTGAACTTTCCTCTTGACAGAGCAGCTCTGAAACCCTCTTTTTCTAGAATCTGCAAGTGGACATTTGGAGGGCTTTGAGGCCTGTTGTGCAAACGGAAAATCTTCACATAAAAACTAGATGGAAGCATTCTCAGAAACTACTTTGTGATGATTGCATTCGACTCACAGAGTTGAACATTCCTATAGATAGAGCAGGTTGTAAACAATGTTTTTGTAGAATCTGCGATTGGAGATTTGGACTGCTTTGAGGCCTACTGTAGTAAAGGAAATAACTTCATCTAAAAACCAAACGGAAGCATTCACAGACAATTCTTAGTGATCATTGGATTGAACTAACAGAGCTGAACATTCCTTTAGATGGAGCAGTTTCCAAACACACTTTCTGTAGAATCTGCAAGTGGATATTTGGACTTCTCTGAGGATTTCGTTGGAAACGGGATAAACTTCCCAGAACTACACGGAAGCATTGTGAGAAACTTCTTTGTGATGTTTGCATTCAACTCACAGAGTTGAACCTTGCTTTCATAGTTCAGCTTTCAAACACTCTTTTTGTAGAATCTGCAAGTGGATATTTGGACCACTTTGTGGCCTTGCTTCGAAACGGGTATATCTTCACATCAAACCTACACAGAAGCATTCTCAGAATGTTTCCTGTGATGACTGCATTCAACTCACAGAGGTGAACAATCCTGCTGATGGAGCAGTTTTGAAACTCTCTTTCTTTGGATTCTGCAAGTGGATATGTGGACCTCTGTGAAGATTTCGTTGGAAACGGGTTCATCTTCACAGAAAAACTAAACAGGAGCATTCTCAGAAACTGCTTTGTGATGTTTGTGTTCCACTTCAAGAATTGAACTTTCCTCTTGACAGAGCAGCTCTGAAACCCTCTTTTTCTAGAATCTGCAAGTGGACATTTGGAGGGCTTTGAGGCCTGTGGTGGAAAAGGAAAATCTTCACATAAAAACTAGATGGAAGCATTCTCAGAAACTACTTTGTGATGATTGCATTCGACTCACAGAGTTGAACATTCCTATAGATAGAGCAGGTTGTAAACAATCTTTTTGTAGAATCTGCGATTGGAGATTTGCACTGCTTTGAGGCCTACTGTAGTAAAGGAAATAACTTCATCTAAAAAGCAAACGGAAGCATTCAGAGACAATTCTTAGTGATCATTGGATTGAACTAACAGAGCTGAACATTCCTTTAGATGGAGCAGTTTCCAAACCCACTTTCTGTAGAATCTGCAAGTGGATATTCGGACTTCTCTGAGGATTTCGTTGGAAACGGGATAAACTTCCCAGAACTACACGGAGCATTGTGAGAAACTTCTTTGTGATGTTTGCATTCAACTCACAGTGTTGAACCTTGCTTTCATAGTTCAGCTTTCAAACACTCTTTTTGTAGAATCTGCAAGTGGATATTTGGACCACTTTGTGGCCTTCCTTCGAAACGGGTATATCTTCACATCAAACCTAGACAGAAGCATTCTCAGAATGTTTCCTGTGATGACTGCATTCAACTCACCGAGGTGAACAATCCTGCTGATGGAGCAGTTTTGAAACTCTCTTTCTTTGGATTCTGCAAGTGGATATGTGGACCTCTGTAAAGATTTCGTTGGAAACGGGTTCATCTTCACAGAGAAACTAAACAGAAGCATTCTCAGAAACTGCTTTGTGATGTTTGTGTTCCACTTCAAGAATTGAACTTTCCTCTTGACAGAGCAGCTCTGAAACCCTCTTTTTCTAGAATCTGCAAGGGGACATTTGGAGGGCTTTGAGGCCTGTGGTGGAAAAGGAAAATCTTCACATAAAAACTAGATGGAAGCATTCTCAGAAACTACTTTGTGATGATTGCATTCGACTCACAGAGTTGAACATTCCTATAGATAGAGCAGGTTGTAAACAATCTTTTTGTAGAATCTGCGATTGGAGATTTGGACTGCTTTGAGGCCTACTGTAGTAAAGGAAATAACTTCATCTAAAAACCAAACGGAAGCATTCACAGACAATTCTTAGTGATCATTGCATTGAACTAACAGAGCTGAACATTCCTTTAGATGGCGCAGTTTCCAAACACACTTTCTGTAGCATCTGCAAGTGGATATTTGGACCTCTCTGAGGATTTCGTTGGAAACGGGATAAACTTCCCAGAACTACACGGAAGCATTCTGAGAAACTTCTTTGTGATGTTTGCATTCAACTCACAGAGTTGAACCTTGCTTTCATAGTTCAGCTTTCAAACACTCTTTTTGTAGAATCTGCAAGTGGATATTTGGACCACTTTGTGGCCTTCCTTCGAAACGGGTATATCTTCACATCAAACCTAGACAGAAGCATTCTCAGAATGTTTCCTGTGATGACTGCATTCAACTCACAGAGGTGAACAATCCTGTTGACGGAGCACTTTTGAAACTCTCTTTCTTTGGATTCTGCAAGTTGATATGTGGACCTCTGCGAAGATTTCGTTGGAAACGGGTTCATCTTCCCAGAAAAACTAAACAGAAGCATTCTCAGAAACTGCTTTGTGATGTTTGTGTTCCACTTCAAGAATTGAACTTTCCTCTTGACAGAGCAGCTCTGAAACCCTCTTTTTCTAGAATCTGCAAGTGGACATTTGGAGGGCTTTGAGGCCTGTGGTGGAAAAGGAAAATCTTCACATAAAAACTAGATGGAAGCATTCTCAGAAACTACTTTGTGATGATTGCATTCGACTCACAGAGTTGAACATTCCTATAGATAGAGCAGGTTGTAAACAATCTTTTTGTAGAATCTGCGATTGGAGATTTGGACTGCTTTGAGGCCTACTGTAGTAAAGGAAATAACTTCATCTAAAAACCAAACGGAAGCATTCACAGACAATTCTTAGTGATCATTGGATTGAACTAACAGAGCTGAACATTCCTTTAGATGGAGCAGTTTCCAAACACACTTTCTGTAGAATCTGCAAGTGGATATTTGGACTTCTCTGAGGATTTCGTTGGAAACGGGATAAACTTCCCAGAACTACACGGAAGCATTGTGAGAATCATATTTCTGATGTTTGCATTCAACTCACAGAGTTGAACCTTGCTTTCATAGTTCAGCTTTCAAACACTCTTTTTGTAGAATCTGCAAGTGGATATTTGGACCACTTTGTGGCCTTCCTTTGAAACGGGTAGATCTTCACATCAAACCTAGACAGAAGCATTCTCAGAATGTTTCCTGTGATGACTGCATTCAACTCACAGAGGTGAACAATCCTGCTGATGGAGCAGTTTTGAAACTCTCTTTCTTTGGATTCTGCAAGTGGATATGTGGACCTCTGTGAAGATTTCGTTGGAAACGGGTTCATCTTCACAGAAAAACTAAACAGGAGCATTCTCAGAAACTGCTTTGTGATGTTTGTGTTCCACTTCAGGAATTGAACTTTCCTCTTGACAGAGCTGCTCTGAAACCCTCTTTTTCCAGAATCTGCAAGTGGACATTTGAAGGGCTTTGAGGCCTGTGGTGGAAAAGGAAAATCTTCACATAAAAACTAGATGGAAGCATTCTCAGAAACTACTTTGTGATGATTGCATTCGACTCACAGAGTTGAACATTCCTATAGATAGAGCAGGTTGTAAACAATCTTTTTGTAGAATCTGCGATTGGAGATTTGGACTGCTTTGAGGCCTACTGTAGTAAAGGAAATAACTTCATCTAAAAACCAAACGGAAGCATTCACAGACAATTCTTAGTGATCATTGCATTGAACTAACAGAGCTGAACATTCCTTTAGATGGCGCAGTTTCCAAACACACTTTCTGTAGAATCTGCAAGTGGATATTTGGACCTCTCTGAGGATTTCGTTGGAAAGGGGATAAACTTCCCAGAACTACACGGAAGCATTGTGAGAAACTTCTTTGTGATGTTTGCATTCAACTCACAGAGTTGAACCTTGCTTTCATAGTTCAGCTTTCAAACACTCTTTTTGTAGAATCTGCAAGTGGATATTTGGACCACTTTGGGGCCTTCCTTCGAAACGGGTATATCTTCACATCAAACCTAGACAGAAGCATTCTCAGAATGTTTCCTGTGATGACTGCATTCAACTCACAGAGGTGAACAATCCTGCTGATGGAGCAGTTTTGAAACTCTCTTTCTTTGGATTCTGCAAGTGGATATGTGGACCTCTGTGAAGATTTCGTTGGAAACGGGTTCATCTTCACAGAAAAACTAAACAGAAGCATTCTCAGAAACTGCTTTGTGATGTTTGTGTTCCACTTCAGGAATTGAACTTTCCTCTTGACAGAGCAGCTCTGAAACCCTCTTATTCTAGAATCTGCAAGTGGACATTTGGAGGGCTTTGAGGCCTGTGGTGGAAAAGGAAAATCTTCACATAAAAACTAGATGGAAGCATTCTCAGAAACTACTTTGTGATGATTGCATTCGACTCACAGAGTTGAACATTCCTATAGATATAGTAGGTTGTAAACAATCTTTTTGTAGAATCTGCGATTGGAGATTTGGACTGCTTTGAGGCCTACTGTAGTGAAGGAAATAACTTCATCTAAAAACCAAACGGAAGCATTCACAGACAATTCTTAGTGATCATTGGATTGAACTAATAGAGCTGAACATTCTTTTAGATGGAGCAGTTTCCAAACCCACTTTCTGTAGAATCTGCAAGTGGATATTTGGACTTCTCTGAGGATTTCGTTGGAAACGGGATAAACTTCCCAGAACTACACGGAAGCATTGTGAGAAACTTCTTTGTGATGTTTGCATTCAACTCACAGAGTTGAACCTTGCTTTCATAGTTCAGCTTTCAAACACTCTTTTTGTAGAATCTGCAAGTGGATATTTGGACCACTTTGTGGCCTTCCTTCGAAACGGGTATATCTTCACATCAAACCTAGACAGAAGCATTCTCAGAATGTTTCCTGTGATGACTGCATTCAACTCACAGAGGTGAACAATCCTGTTGATGGAGCAGTTTTGAAACTCTCTTTCTTTGGATTCTGCAAGCGGATATGTGGACCTCTGTGAAGATTTCGTTGGAAACGGGTTCATCTTCACCGAAAAACTAAACAGGAGCATTCTCAGAAACTGCTTTGTGATGTTTGTGTTCCACTTCAAGAATTGAACTTTCCTCTTGACAGAGCAGCTCTGAAACCCTCTTTTTCTAGAATCTGCAAGTGGACATTTGGAGGGCTTTGAGGCCTGTGGTGGAAAAGGAAAATCTTCCCATAAAAACTAGATGGAAGCATTCTCAGAAACTACTTTGTGATGATTGCATTCGACTCACAGAGTTGAACATTCCTATAGATAGCGCAGGTTGTAAACAATCTTTTTGTAGAATCTGCGATTGGAGATTTGGACTGCTTTGAGGCCTACTGTAGTAAAGGAAATAACTTCATCTAAAAACCAAACGGAAGCATTCACAGACAATTCTTAGTGATCATTGCATTGAACTAACGGAGCTGAACATTCCTTTAGATGAAGCAGTTTCCAAACACACTTTCTGTAGAATCTGCAAGTGGATATTTGGACTTCTCTGAGGATTTCGTTGGAAACGGGATAAACTTCCCAGAACTACACGGAAGCATTCTGAGAAACTTCTTTGTGATGTTTGCATTCAACTCACAGAGTTGAACCTTGCTTTCATAGTTCAGCTTTCAAACACTCTTTTTGTAGAATCTGCAAGTGGATATTTGGATCACTTTGTGGCCTTCCTTCGAAACGGGTATATCTTCACATCAAACCTAGACACAAGCATTCTCAGAATGTTTCCTGTGATGACTGCATTCAACTCACAGAGGTGAACAATCCTTCTGATGGAGCAGTTTTGAAACTCTCTTTCTTTGGATTCTGCAAGTGGATATGTGGACCTCTGTGAAGATTTCGTTGGAAACGGGTTCATCTTCACAGAAAAACTAAACAGAAGCATTCTCGGAAACTGCTTTGTGATGTTTGTGTTCCACTTCAGGAATTGAACTTTCCTCTTGACAGAGCAGCTCTGAAACCCTCTTATTCTAGAATCTGCAAGTGGACATTTGGAGGGCTTTGAGGCCTGTGGTGGAAAAGGAAAATCTTCACATAAAAACTAGATGGAAGCATTCTCAGAAACTTCTTTGTGATGATTGCATTCGACTCACAGAGTTGAACATTCCTATAGATAGAGCAGGTTGTAAACAATCTTTTTGTAGAATCTGCGATTGGAGATTTGGACTGCTTTGAGGCCTACTGTAGTAAAGGAAATAACTTCATCTAAAAACCAAACGGAAGCTTTCACAGACAATTCTTAGTGATCATTGGATTGAACTAACAGAGCTGAACATTCCTTTAGATGGAGCAGTTTCCAAACACACTTTCTGTAGAATCTGCAAGTGGATATTTGGACTTCTCTGAGGATTTCGTTGGAAACGGGATAAACTTCCCAGAACTACAGGGAAGCATTTTGAGAAACTTCTTTGTGATGTTTGCATTCAACTCACAGAGTTGAACCTTGCTTTCATAGTTCAGCTTTCAAACACTCTTTTTGTAGAATCTGCAAGTGGATATTTGGACCACTTTGTGGCCTTCCTTCGAAACGGGTATATCTTCACATCAAACCTAGACAGAAGCATTCTCAGAATGTTTCCTGTGATGACTGCATTCAACTCACAGAGGTGAACAATCCTGCTGATGGAGCAGTTTTGAAACTCTCCATCTTTGGATTCTGCAAGTGGATATGTGGACCTCTGTGAAGATTTCGTTGGAAACGGGTTCATCTTCACAGAAAAACTAAACAGGAGCATTCTCAGAAACTGCTTTGTGATGTTTGTGTTCCACTTCAGGAATTGAACTTTCCTCTTGACAGAGCAGCTCTGAAACCCTCTTTTTCTAGAATCTGCAAGTGGACATTTGGAGGGCTTTGAGGCCTGTGGTGGAAAAGGAAAATCTTCACATAAAAACTAGATGGAAGCATTCTCAGAAACTACTTTGTGATGATTGCATTCGACTCACAGAGTTGAACATTCCTATAGATAGAGCAGGTTGTAAACAATCTTTTTGTAGAATCTGCGATTGGAGATTTGGACTGCTTTGAGGCCTACTGTAGTAAAGGAAATAACTTCATCTAAAAACCAAACGGAAGCATTCACAGACAATTCTTAGTGATCATTGGATTGAACTAACAGAGCTGCACATTCCTTTAGATGGCGCAGTTTCCAAACACACTTTCTGTAGAATCTGCAAGTGGATATTTGGACCTCTCTGAGGATTTTGTTGGAAAAGGGATAAACTTCCCAGAACTACACGGAAGCATTCTGAGAAACTTCTTTGTCATGTTTGCATTCAACTCACAGAGTTGAACCTTGCTTTCATAGTTCAGCTTTCAAACACTCTTTTTGTAGAATCTGCAAGTGGATATTTGGACCACTTTGTGGCCTTCCTTCGAAACGGGTATATCTTCACATCAAACCTAGACAGAAGCATTCTCAGAATGTTTCCTGTGATGACTGCATTCAACTCACAGAGGTGAACAATCCTGCTGATGGAGCAGTTTTGAAACTCTCTTTCTTTGGATTCTGCAAGTGGATATGTGGACCTCTGTGAAGATTTCGTTGGAAACGGGTTCATCTTCACAGAAAAACTAAACAGAAGCATTCTCAGAAACTGCTTTGTGATGTTTGTGTTCCACTTCAAGAATTGAACTTTCCTCTTGACAGAGCAGCTCTGAAACCCTCTTATTCTAGAATCTGCAAGTGGACATTTGGAGGGCTTTGAGGCCTGTGGTGGAAAAGGAAAATCTTCACATAAAAACTAGATGGAAGCATTCTCAGAAACTACTTTGTGATGATTGCATTCGACTCACAGAGTTGAACATTCCTATAGATAGAGCAGGTTGTAAACAATCTTTTTGTAGAATCTGCGATTGGAGATTTGGACTGCTTTGAGGCCTACTGTAGTAAAGGAAATAACTTCATCTAAAAACCAAACGGAAGCATTCACAGACAATTCTTAGTGATTATTGGATTGAACTAACAGAGCTGAACATTCCTTTAGATGGCGCAGTTTCCAAACACACTTTCTGTAGAATCTGCAAGTGGATATTTGGACCTCTCTGAGGATTTCGTTGGAAACGGGATAAACTTCCCAGAACTACACGGAAGCATGCTGAGAAACTTCTTTGTGATGTTTGCATTCAACTCACAGAGTTGAACCTTGCTTTCATAGTTCAGCTTTCAAACACTCTTTTTGTAGAATCTGCAAGTGGATATTTGGACCACTTTGTGGCCTTCCTTCGAAACGGGTATATCTTCACATCAAACCTAGACAGAAGCATTCTCAGAATGTTTCCTGTGATGACTGCATTCAACTCACAGAGGTGAACAATCCTGTTGATGGAGCACTTTTGAAACTCTCTTTCTTTGGATTCTGCAAGTTGATATGTGGACCTCTGTGAAGATTTCGTTGGAAACGGGTTCATCTTCACAGAAAAACTAAACAGAAGCATTCTCAGAAACTACTTTGTGATGTTTGTGTTCCACTTCAAGAATTGAACTTTCCTCTTGACAGAGCAGCTCTGAAACCCTCTTTTTCTAGAATCTGCAAGTGGACATTTGGAGGGCTTTGAGGCCTGTGGTGCAAAAGGAAAATCTTCACATAAAAACTAGATGGAAGCATTCTCAGAAACTACTTTGTGATGATTGCATTCGACTCACAGAGTTGAACATTCCTATAGATAGAGCAGGTTGTAAACAATCTTTTTGTAGAATCTGCGATTGGAGATTTGGACTGCTTTGAGGCCTACTGTAGTAAAGGAAATAACTTCATCTAAAAACCAAACGGAAGCATTCACAGACAATTCTTAGTGATCATTGCATTGAACTAACAGAGCTGAACATTGCTTTAGATGGCGCAGTTTCCAAACACACTTTCTGTAGAATCTGCAAGTGGATATTTGGACCTCTCTGAGGATTTCGTTGGAAACGGGATAAATTTCCCAGAACTACACGGAAGCATGCTGAGAAACTTCTTTGTGATGTTTGCATTCAACTCACAGAGTTGAACCTTGCTTTCATAGTTCAGCTTTCAAACACTCTTTTTGTAGAATCTGCAAGTGGATATTTGGACCACTTTGTGGCCTTCCTTCGAAACGGGTATATCTTCACATCAAACCTAGACAGAAGCATTCTCAGAATGTTTCCTGTGATGACTGCATTCAACTCACAGAGGTGAACAATCCTGCTGATGGAGCAGTTTTGAAACTCTCTTTCTTTGGATTCTGCAAGTGGATATGTGGACCTCTGTGAAGATTTCGTTGGAAACGGGTTCATCTTCACAGAAAAACTAAACAGAAGCATTCTCAGAAACTGCTTTGTGATGTTTGTGTTCCACTTCAGGAATTGAACTTTCCTCTTGACAGAGCAGCTCTGAAACCCTCTTATTCTAGAATTTGCAAGTGGACATTTGGAGGGCTTTGAGGCCTGTGGTGGAAAAGGAAAATCTTCACATAAAAACTAGATGGAAGCATTCTCAGAAACTACTTTGTGATGATTGCATTCGACTCACAGAGTTGAACATTCCTAAAGATAGAGCAGGTTGTAAACAATCTTTTTGTAGAATCTGAGATTGGAGATTTGGACTGCTTTGAGGCCTACTGTAGTAAAGGAAATAACTTCATCTAAAAACCAAACGGAAGCATTCACAGACAATTCTTAGTGATCATTGCATTGAACTAACAGAGCTGAACATTCCTTTAGATGGCGCAGTTTCCAAACACACTTTCTGTAGAATCTGCAAGTGGATATTTGGACTTCTCTGAGGATTTCGTTGGAAACGGGATAAACTTCCCAGAACTACACGGAAGCATGCTGAGAAACTTCTTTGTGATGTTTGCATTCAACTCACAGAGTTGAAACTTGCTTTCATAGTTCAGCTTTCAAACACTCTTTTTGTAGAATCTGCAAGTGGATATTTGGACCACTTTGTGGCCTTCCTTCGAAACGGGTATATCTTCATATCAAACCTAGACAGAAGCATTCTCAGAATGTTTCCTGTGATGACTGCATTCAACTCACAGAGGTGAACAATCCTGTTGATGGAGCACTTTTGAAACTCTCTTTCTTTGGATTCTGCAAGTTGATATGTGGACCTCTGTGAAGATTTCGTTGGAAACGGGTTCATCTTCACAGAAAAACTAAACAGAAGCATTCTCAGAAACTGCTTTGTGATGTTTGTGTTCCACTTCAAGAATTGAACTTTCCTCTTGACAGAGCAGCTCTGAAACCCTCTTTTTCTAGAATCTGCAAGTGGACATTTGGAGGGCTTTGAGGCCTGTGGTGGAAAAGGAAAATCTTCACATAAAAACTAGATGGAAGCATTCTCAGAAACTACTTTGTGATGATTGCATTCGACTCACAGAGTTGAGCATTCCTATAGATAGAGCAGGTTGTAAACAATCTTTTTGTAGAATCTGCGATTGGAGATTTGGACTGCTTTGAGGCCTACTGTAGTAAAGGAAATAACTTCATCTAAAAACCAAACGGAAGCATTCACAGACAATTCTTAGTGATCATTGCATTGAACTAACAGAGCTGAACATTCCTTTAGATGGAGCAGTTTCCAAACACACTTTCTGTAGAATCTGCAAGTGGATATTTGGACTTCTCTGAGGATTTCGTTGGAAAAGGATAAACTTCCCAGAACTACACGGAAGCATTCTGAGAAAGTTCTTTGTGATGTTTTCATTCAACTCACAGAGTTGAACCTCGCTTTCATAGTTCAGCTTTCAAACACTCTTTTTGTAGAATCTGCAAGTGGATATTTGGACCACTTTGTGGCCTTCCTTCGAAACGGGTATATCTTCACATCAAACCTAGACAGAAGCATTCTCAGAATGTTTCCTGTGATGACTGCATTCAACTCACAGAGGTGAACAATCCTGTTGATGGAGCAGTGTTGAAACTCTCTTTCTTTGGATTCTGCAAGTGGATATGTGGACCTCTGTGAAGATTTTGTTGGAAACGGGTTCATCTTCACAGAAAAACTAAACAGGAGCATTCTCAGAAACTGCTTTGTGATGTTTGTGTTCCACTTCAAGAATTGAACTTTCCTCTTGACAGAGCAGCTCTGAAACCCTCTTTTTCTAGAATCTGCAAGTGGACATTTGGAGGGCTTTGAGGCCTGTGGTGGAAAAGGAAAATCTTCACATAAAACTAGATGGAAGCATTCTCAGAAACTACTTTGTGATGATTGCATTCGACTCACAGAGTTGAACATTCCTATAGATAGAGCAGGTTGTAAACAATCTTTTTGTAGAATCTGCGATTGGAGATTTGGACTGCTTTGAGGCCTACTGTAGTAAAGGAAATAACTTCATCTAAAAACCAAACGGAAGCATTCACAGACAATTCTTAGTGATCATTGCATTGAACTAACAGAGCTGAACATTCCTTTAGATGGCGCAGTTTCCAAACACACTTTCTGTAGAATCTGCAAGTGGATATTTGGACCTCTCTGAGGATTTCGTTGGAAACGGGATAAACTTCCCAGAACTACACGGAAGCATTCTGAGAAACTTCTTTGTGATGTTTGCATTCAACTCACAGAGTTGAACCTTGCTTTCATAGTTCAGCTTTCAAACACTCTTTTTGTAGAATCTGCAAGTGGATATTTGGACCACTTTGTGGCCTTCCTTCGAAACGGGTATATCTTCACATCAAACCTAGACAGAAGCATTCTCAGAATGTTTCCTGTGATGACTGCATTCAACTCACAGAGGTGAATAATCCTTCTGATGGAGCAGTTTTGAAACTCTCTTTCTTTGGATTCTGCAAATGGATATGTGGACCTCTGTGAAGATTTCGTTGGAAACGGGTTCATCTTCACAGAAAAACTAAACAGGAGCATTCTCAGAAACTGCTTTGTGATGTTTGTGTTCCACTTCAGGAATTGAACTTTCCTCTTGACAGAGCAGCTCTGAAACCCTCTTATTCTAGAATCTGCAAGTGGACATTTGGAGGGCTTTGAGACCTGTGGTGGAAAAGGAAAATCTTCACATAAAAACTAGATGGAAGCATTCTCAGAAACTACTTTGTGATGATTGCATTCGACTCACAGAGTTGAACATTCCTATAGATAGAGCAGGTTGTAAACAATCTTTTTGTAGAATCTGTGATTGGAGATTTGGACTGCTTTGAGGCCTACTGTAGTAAAGGAAATAACTTCATCTAAAAACCAAACGGAAGCATTCACAGATAGTTCTTAGTGATCATTGGATAGAACTAACAGAGCTGAACATTCCTTTAGATGGAGCAGTTTCCAAACACACTTTCTGTAGAATCTGCAAGTGGATATTTGGACCTCTCTGAGGATTTCGTTGGAAACGGGATAAACTTCCCAGAACTACACGAAAGTATTCTGAGAAACTTCTTTGTGATGTTTGCATTCAACTCACAGAGTTGAACCTTGCTTTCATAGTTCAGCTTTCAAACACTCTTTTTGTAGAATCTGCAAGTGGATATTTGGACCACTTTGTGGCCTTCCTTCGAAACGGGTATATCTTCACATCAAACCTAGACAGAAGCATTCTCAGAATGTTTCCTGTGATGACTGCATTCAACTCACAGAGGTGAACAATCCTGCTGATGGAGCAGTTTTGAAACTCTCTTTCTTTGGATTCTGCAGGTGGATATGTGGACCTCTGTGAAGATTTCGTTGGAAACGGGTTCATCTTCACAGAAAAACTAAACAGGAACATTCTCAGAAACTGCTTTGTGATGTTTGTGTTCCACTTCAAGAATTGAACTTTCCTCTTGACAGAGCAGCTCTGAAACCCTCTTTTTCTAGAATCTGCAAGTGGACATTTGGAGGGCTTTGAGGCCTGTGGTGGAAAAGGAAAATCTTCACATAAAAACTAGATGGAAGCATTCTCAGAAACTACTTTGTGATGATTGCATTCGACTCACAGAGTTGAACATTCCTATAGATAGAGCAGGTTGTAAACAATCTTTTTGTAGAATCTGCGATTGGAGATTTGGACTGCTTTGAGGCCTACTGTAGTAAAGGAAATAACTTCATCTAAAAACCAAACGGAAGCATTCACAGACAATTCTTAGTGATCATTGGATTGAACTAACAGAGCTGAACATTCCTTTAGATGGAGCAGTTTCCAAACACACTTTCTGTAGAATCTGCAAGTGGATATTTGGACCTCTCTGAGGATTTCTTTGGAAACGGGCTAAACTTCCCAGAACTACACGGAAGCATTCTGAGAAACTTCTTTGTGATGTTTGCATTCAACTCACCGAGTTGAACCTTGCTTTCCTAGTTCAGCTTTCAAACACTCTTTTTGTAGAATCTGCAAGTGGATATTTGGACCACTTTGTGGCCTTCCTTCGAAACGGGTATATCTTCACATCAAACCTAGAGAGAAGCATTCTCAGAATGTTTCCTGTGATGACTGCATTCAACTCACAGAGGTGAACAATCCTGTTGATGGAGCACTTTTGAAACTCTCTTTCTTTGGATTCTGCAAGTTGATATGTGGACCTCTGAGAACATTTCGTTGGAAACGGGTTCATCTTCACAGAAAAACTAAACAGAAGCATTCTCAGAAACTGCTTTGTGATGTTTGTGTTCCACTTCAAGCAATTGAACTTTCCTCTTGACCGAGCAGCTCTGAAACCCTCTTTTTCTAGAATCTGCAAGTGGACATTTGGAGGGCTTTGAGGCCTGTGGTGGAAAAGGAAAATCTTCACATAAAAACTAGATGGAAGCATTCTCAGAAACTACTTTGTGATGATTGCATTCGACTCACAGAGTTGAACATTCCTATAGATAGAGCAGGTTGTAAACAATCTTTTTTTAGAATCTGCGATTGGAGATTTGGACTGCTTTGAGGCCTACTGTAGTAAAGGAAATAACTTCATCTAAAAACCAAACGGAAGCATTCACAGACAATTCTTAGTGATCTATTGGATTGAACTAACAGAGCTGAACATTCCTTTAGATGGAGCAGTTTCCAAACACACTTTCTGTAGAATCTGCAAGTGGATATTTGGACTTCTCTGAGGATTTCGTTGGAAACGGGAAAAACTTCCCAGAACTACACGGAAGCATGCTGAGAAACTTCTTTGTGATGTTTGCATTCAACTCACAGAGTTGAACCTTGCTTTCATAGTTCAGCTTTCAAACACTCTTTTTGTAGAATCTGCAAGTGGATATTTGGACCACTTTGTGGCCTTCCTTCAAAACGGGTATATCTTCACATCAAACCTAGACAGAAGCATTCTCAGAATGTTTCCTGTGATGACTGCATTCAACTCACAGAGGTGAACAATCCTCCTGATGGAGCAGTTTTGAAACTCTCTTTCTTTGGATTCTGCAAGTGGATATGTGGACCTCTGTGAAGATTTCTTTGGAAACGGGTTCATCTTCACAGAAAAACTAAATAGAAGCATTCTCAGAAACTGCTTTGTGATTTTTGTGTTCCACTTCAGGAATTGAACTTTCCTCTTGACAGAGCAGCTCTGAAACCCTCTTATTCTAGAATCTGCAAGTGGACATTTGGAGGGCTTTGAGGCCAGTGGTGGAAAAGGAAAATCTTCACATAAAAACTAGATGGAAGCATTCTCAGAAACTACTTTGTGATGATTGCATTCGACTCACAGAGTTGAACATTCCTATAGATAGAGCAGGTTGTAAACAATCTTTTTGTAGAATCTTCGATTGGAGATTTGGACTGCTTTGAGGCCTACTGTAGTAAAGGAAATAACTTCATCTAAAAAACAAACGGAAGCATTCACAGACAATTCTTAGTGATCATTGCATTGAACTAACAGAGCTGAACATTCCTTTAGATGGCGCAGTTTCCAAACACACTTTCTGTAGAATCTGCAAGTGGATATTTGGACTTCTCTGAGGATTTCGTTGGAAACGGGATAAACTTCCCAGAACTACACGGAAGCATGCTGAGAAACTTCTTTGTGATGTTTGCATTCAACTCACAGAGTTGAACCTTGCTTTCATAGTTCAGCTTTCAAACACTCTTTTTGTAGAATCTGCAAGTGGATATTTGGACCACTTTGTGGCCTTCCTTCGAAACGGGTATATCTTCACATCAAACCTAGACAGAAGCATTCTCAGAATGTTTCCTGTGATGACTGCATTCAACTCACAGAGGTGAACAATCCTGCTGATGGAGCAGTTTTGAAACTCTCTTTCTTTGGATTCTGCAAGTGGATATGTGGACCTCTGTGAAGATTTCGTTGGAAACGGGTTCATCTTCACAGAAAAACTAAACAGAAGCATTCTCAGAAACTGCTTTGTGATGTTTGTGTTCCACTTCAGGAATTGTACTTTCCTCTTGACAGAGCAGCTCTGAAACCCTCTTATTCTAGAATCTGCAAGTGGACATTTGGAGGGCTTTGAGGCCTGTGGTGGAAAAGGAAAATCTTCACATAAAAACTAGATGGAAGCATTCTCAGAAACTACTTTGTGATGATTGCATTCGACTCACAGAGTTGAACATTCCTATACATAGAGCAGGTTGTAAACAATCTTTTTGTAGAATCTGCGATTGGAGATTTGGACTGCTTTGAGGCCTACTGTAGTAAAGGAAATAACTTCATCTAAAAACCAAACGGAAGCATTCACAGACAATTCTTAGTGATCATTTGATTGAACTAACAGAGCTGAACATTCCTTTAGATTGAGCAGTTTCCAAACACACTTTCTGTAGAATCTGCAGGTGGATATTTGGACCTCTTCTGAGGATTTCGTTGGAAATGGGATAAACTTCCCAGAAATACACGGAAGCATTCTCCGAAAATTCTTTGTGATGTTTGCATTCAACTCACGGGGTTGAACTTTCCTTTCATAGTTCAGCTTTCAAACACTCTTTCTGTAGAATCTGCAAGTGGATATTTGGACCACTTTGTGGCCTTCATTCGAAACGTGTATATCTTCACATCAAACCTAGACAGAAGCATTCTCAGAATGTTTCCTGTGAAGACTGCATTCAACGCACAGAGGTGAACAATCCTATTGATGGAGCAGTTTGAAACTCTCTTTCTTTGGAATCTGCAAGTGGATATTTGGACCTCTTTGAAGATTTCCTTGGAAAAGTGTTCATCTTCAAAGAAAAACTAAACAGAATCATTCTCAGAAACTGCTTTGTGAGGTTTGTGTTCCACTTCAAGAATTGAACTTTCCTCTTGACAGAGCAGCTCTGAAACCCTCTTTTTCTAGAATCTGCAAGTGGACATTTGGAGGGCTTTGAGGCCTGTGGTGGAAAAGGAAAATCTTCACATGAAAACTAGATGGAAGCATTCTCAGAAACTACTTTGTGATGATTGCATTCGACTCACAGAGTTGAACATTCCTATAGATAGAGCAGGTTGTAAACAATCTTTTTGTAGAATCTGCGATTGGAGATTTGGACTGCTTTGAGGCCTACTGTAGTAAAGGAAATAACTTCATCTAAAAACCAAACGGAAGCATTCACAGACAATTCTTAGTGATCATTGGATTGAACTAACAGAGCTGAACATTCCTTTAGATGGAGCAGTTTCCAAACCCACTTTCTGTAGAATCTGCAAGTGGATATTTGGACTTCTCTGAGGATTTCGTTGGAAACGGGATATGCTTCCCAGAACTACACGGAAGCATTCTGAGAAACTTCTTTGTGATGTTTGCATTCAACTCACAGAGTTGAACCTTGCTTTCATAGTTCAGCTTTCAAACACTCTTTTTGTAGAATCTGCAAGTGGATATTTGGACCACTTTGTGGCCTTCCTTCGAAACGGGTATATCTTCACATCAAACCTAGACAGAAGCATTCTCAGAATGTTTCCTGTGATGACTGCATTCAACTCACAGAGGTGAACAATCCTGCTGATGGAGCAGTTTTGAAACTCTCTTTCTTTGGATTCTGCAAGTGGATATGTGGACCTCTGTGAAGATTTCGTTGGAAACGGGTTCATCTTCACAGAAAAACTAAACAGGAGCATTCTCAGAAACTGCTTTGTGATGTTTGTGTTCCACTTAAAGAATTGAACTTTCCTCTTGACAGAGCAGCTCTGAAACCCTCTTTTTCTAGAATCTGCAAGTGGACATTTGGAGGGCTTTGAGGCCTGTGGTGGAAAAGGAAAATCTTCACATAAAAACTTTATGGAAGCATTCTCAGAAACTTCTTTGTGATGATTGCATTCGACTCACAGAGTTGAACATTCCTATAGATAGAGTAGGTTGTAAACAATCTTTTTGTAGAATCTGCGATTGGAGATTTGGACTGCTTTGAGGCCTACTGTAGTAAAGGAAATAACTTCATCTAAAAACCAAACGGAAGCATTCACTGACAATGCTTAGTGATCATTGGATTGAACTAACAGAGCTGAACATTCCTTTAGATGGAGCAGTTTCCAAACCCACTTTCTGTAGAATATGCAAGTGGATATTTGGACCTCTCTGAGGATTTCGTTGGAAACGGGATATGCTTCCCAGAACTACACGGAAGCATTCTGAGAAACTTCTTTGTGATGTTTGCATTCAACTCACAGAGTTGAAACTTGCTTTCATAGTTCAGCTTTCAAACACTCTTTTTGTAGAATCTGCAAGTGGATATTTGGACCACTTTGTGGCCTTCCTTCGAAACGGGTATATCTTCACATCAAACCTAGACAGAAGCATTCTCAGAATGTTTCCTGTGATGACTGCATTCAACTCACAGAGGTGAACAATCCTGTTGATGGAGCAGTTTTGAAACTCTCTTTCTTTGGATTCTGCAAGTGGATATGTGGACCTCTGTGAAGATTTCGTTGGAAACGGGTTCATCTTCACAGAAAAACTAAACAGAAACATTCTCAGAAACTGCTTTGTGATGTTTGTGTTCCACTTCAAGAATTGAACTTTCCTCTTGACAGAGCAGCTCTGAAACCCTCTTTTTCTAGAATCTGCAAGTGGACATTTGGAGGGCTTTGAGGCCTGTGGTGGAAAAGGAAAATCTTCACATAAAAACTAGATGGAAGCATTCTCAGAAACTACTTTGTGATGATTGCATTCGACTCACAGAGTTGAACATTCCTATAGATAGAGCAGGTTGTAAACAATCTTTTTGTAGAATCTGCGATTGGAGATTTGGACTGCTTTGAGGCCTACTGTAGTAAAGGAAATAACTTCATCTAAAAACCAAACGGAAGCATTCACAGACAATTCTTAGTGATCATTGGATTGAACTAACAGAGCTGAACATTCCTTTAGATGGAGCAGTTTCCAAACACACTTTCTGTAGAATCTGCAAGTGGATATTTGGACCTCTCTGAGGATTTCGTTGGAAACGGGATAAACTTCCCAGAACTACACGGAAGCATTCTGAGAAACTTCTTTGTGATGTTTGCATTCAACTCACAGAGTTGAACCTTGCTTTCATAGTTCAGCTTTCAAACACTCTTTTTGTAGAAT
Source organism: Homo sapiens (assembly GCF_000001405.40). NCBI lineage: Eukaryota > Metazoa > Chordata > Mammalia > Primates > Hominidae > Homo > Homo sapiens. Next base: position 52,252,576 of record NC_000011.10, read on the forward strand.
CTGCAAGTGGATATTTGGACCACTTTGTGGCCTTCCTTCGAAACGGGTATATCTTCACATCAAACCTAGACAGAAGCATTCTCAGAATGTTTCCTGTGATGACTGCATTCAACTCACAGAGGTGAACAATCCTGCTGATGGAGCAGTTTTGAAACTCTCTTTCTTTGGATTCTGCAAGTGGATATGTGGACCTCTGTGAAGATTTCGTTGGAAACGGGTTCATCTTCACAGAAAAACTAAACAGAAGCATTCTCAGAAACTGCTTTGTGATGTTTGTGTTCCACTTCAGGAATTGAACTTTCCTCTTGACAGAGCAGCTCTGAAACCCTCTTATTCTAGAATCTGCAAGTGGACATTTGGAGGGCTTTGAGGCCTGTGGTGGAAAAGGAAAATCTTCACATAAAAACTAGATGGAAGCATTCTCAGAAACTACTTTGTGATGATTGCATTCGACTCACAGAGTTGAACATTCCTATAGATAGAGCAGGTTGTAAACAATCTTTTTGTAGAATCTGCCATTGGAGATTTGGACTGCTTTGAGGCCTACTGTAGTAAAGGAAATAACTTCATCTAAAAACCAAACGGAAGCATTCACAGACAATTCTTAGTGATCTATTGGATTGAACTAACAGAGCTGAACATTCCTTTAGATGGCACAGTTTCCAAACCCACTTTCTGTAGAATCTGCAAGTGGATATTTGGACTTCTCTGAGGATTTCGTTGGAAACGAGATAAACTTCCCAGAACTACACGGAAGCATTGTGAGAAACTTCTTTGTGATGTTTGCATTCAACTCACAGAGTTGAACCTTGCTTTCATAGTTCAGCTTTCAAACACTCTTTTTGTAAAATCTGCAAGTGGATATTTGGACTTCTCTGAGGATTTCGTTGGAAACGGGATAAACTTCCCAGAACTACACGGAAGCATTCTGAGAAACTTCTTTGTGATGTTTGCATTCAACTCACAGAGTTGAACCTTGCTTTCATAGTTCAGCTTTCAAACACTCTTTTTGTAGAATCTGCAAGTGGATATTTGGACCACTTTGTGGCCTTCCTTCGAAACGGGTATATCTTCACATCAAACCTAGACAGAAGCATTCTCAGAATGTTTCCTGTGATGACTGCATTCAACTCACAGAGGTGAACAATCCTGCTGATGGAGCAGTTTTGAAACTCTCTTTCTTTGGATTCTGCAAGTGGATATGTGGACCTCTGTGAAGATTTCGTTGAAAACGGGTTCATCTTCACAGAAAAACTAAACAGAAGCATTCTCAGAAACTGCTTTGTGATGTTTGTGTTCCACTTCAAGAATTGAACTTTCCTCTTGACAGAGCAGCTCTGAAACCCTCTTTTTCTAGAATCTGCAAGTGGACATTTGGAGGGCTTTGAGGCCTGTGGTGGAAAAGGAAAATCTTCCCATAAAAACTAGATGGAAGCATTCTCAGAAACTACTTTGTGATGATTGCATTCGACTCACAGAGTTGAACATTCCTATAGATAGAGCAGGTTGTAAACAATCTTTTTGTAGAATCTGCGATTGGAGATTTGGACTGCTTTGAGGCCTACTGTAGTAAAGGAAATAACTTCATCTAAAAACCAAACGGAAGCATTCACAGACAATTCTTAGTGATCATTGCATTGAACTAACAGAGCTGAACATTCCTTTAGATGGCGCAGTTTCCAAACACACTTTCTGTAGAATCTGCAAGTGGATATTTGGACCTCTCTGAGGATTTCGTTGGAAACGGGATAAACTTCCCAGAACTACACGGAAGCATTCTGAGAAACTTCTTTGTGATGTTTCCATTCAACTCATAGAGTTGAACCTTGCTTTCATAGTTCAGCTTTCAAACACTCTTTTTGTAGAATCTGCAAGTGGATATTTGGACCACTTTGTGGCCTTCCTTCGAAACGGGTATATCTTCACATCAAACCTAGACAGAAGCATTCTCAGAATGTTTCCTGTGATGACTGCATTCAACTCACAGAGGTGAACAATCCTGCTGATGGAGCAGTTTTGAAACTCTCTTTCTTTGGATTCTGCAAGTGGATATGTGGACCTCTGTGAAGATTTCGTTGGAAACGGGTTCATCTTCACAGAAAAACTAAACAGGAGCATTCTCAGAAACTGCTTTGTGATGTTTGTGTTCCACTTCAAGAATTGAACTTTCCTCTTGACAGAGCAGCTCTGAAACCCTCTTTTTCTAGAATCTGCAAGTGGACATTTGGAGGGCTTTGAGGCCTGTGGTGGAAAAGGAAAATCTTCACATAAAAACTAGATGGAAGCATTCTCAGAAACTACTTTGTGATGATTGCATTCGACTCACAGAGTTGAACATTCCTATAGATAGAGCAGGTTGTAAACAATCTTTTTGTAGAATCTGCGATTGGAGATTTGGACTGCTTTGAGGCCTACTGTAGTAAAGGAAATAACTTCATCTAAAAACCAAACGGAAGCATTCACAGACAATTCTTAGTGATCATTGCATTGAACTAACAGAGCTGAACATTCCTTTAGATGGCGCAGTTTCCAAACACACTTTCTGTAGAATCTGCAAGTGGATATTTGGACCTCTCTGAGGATTTCCTTGGAAACGGGATAAACTTCCCAGAACTACACGGAAGTATTCTGAGAAACTTCTTTGTGATGTTTGCATTCAACTCACAGAGTTGAACCTTGCTTTCATAGTTCAGCTTTCAAACACTCTTTTTGTAGAATCTGCAAGTGGATATTTTGACCACTTTGTGGTCTTCCTTCGAAACGGGTATATCTTCACATCAAACCTTGACAGAAGCCTTCTCAGAATGTTTCCTGTGATGACTGCATTCAACTCACAGAGGTGAACAATCCTGCTGATGGAGCAGTTTTGAAACTCTCTTTCTTTGGACTCTGCAAGTGGATATGTGGACCTCTGTGAAGATTTCGTTGGAAACGGGTTCATCTTCACAGAAAAACTAAACAGACAGCATTCTCAGAAACTGCTTTGTGATGTTTGTGTTCCACTTCAAGAATTGAAATTTCCTCTTGACAGAGCAGCTCTGAAACCCTCTTTTTCTAGAATCTGCAAGTGGACATTTGGAGGGCTTTGAGGCCTGTGGTGGAAAAGGAAAATCTTCACATAAAAACTAGATGGAAGCATTCTCAGAAACTACTTTGTGATGATTGCATTCGACTCACAGAGTTGAACATTCCTATAGATAGAGCTGTTTGTAAACAATCTTTTTGTAGAATCTGCGATTGGAGATTTGGACTGCTTTGAGGCCTACTGTAGTAAAGGAAATAACTTCATCTAAAAACCAAACGGAAGGATTCACAGACAATTCTTAGTGATCATTGGATTGAACTAACAGAGCTGAACATTCCTTTAGATGGCGCAGTTTCCAAACACACTTTCTGTAGAATCTGCAAGTGGATATTTGGACCTCTCTGAGGATTTCGTTGGAAACGGGAAAAACTTCCCAGAACTACACGGAAGTATTCTGAGAAACTTCTTTGGGATGTTTGCAGTCAACTCACAGAGTTGAACCTTGCTTTCATAGTTCAGCTTTCAAACACTCTTTTTGTAGAATCTGCAAGTGGATATTTGGAACACTTTGTGGCCTTCCTTCGAAACGGGTATATCTTCACATCAAACCTAGACAGAAGCATTCTCAGAATGTTTCCTGTGATGACTGCATTCAACTCACAGAGGTGAACAATCCTGCTGATGGAGCAGTTTTGAAACTCTCTTTCTTTGGATTCTGCAAGTGGATATGTGGACCTCTGTGAAGATTTCGTTGGAAACGGGTTCATCTTCACAGAAAAACTAAACAGGAGCATTCTCAGAAACTGCTTTGTGATGTTTGTGTTCCACTTCAAGAATTGAACTTTCCTCTTGACAGAGCAGCTCTGAAACCCTCTTTTTCTAGAATCAGCAAGTGTACATTTGGAGGACTTTGAGGCCTGTGGTGGAAAAGGAAAATCTTCACATAAAAACTAGATGGAAGCATTCTCAGAAACTACTTTGTGATGATTGCATTCGACTCACAGAGTTGAACATTCCTATAGATAGAGCAGGTTGTAAACAATCTTTTTGTAGAATCTGCGATTCGAGATTTGGAATGCTTTGAGGCCTACTGCAGTAAAGGAAATAACTTCATCTAAAAACCAAACGGAAGCATTCACAGACAATTCTTAGTGATCATTGGATTGAACTAACAGAGCTGAACATTCCTTTAGATGGCGCAGTTTCCAAACACACTTTCTGTAGAATCTGCCACTGGATATTTGGACCTCTCTGAAGATTTCGTTGGAAACGGGATAAACTTCCCAGAACTACACGGAAGTATTCTGAGAAACTTCTTTGTGATTTTTGCATTCAACTCACAGAGTTGAACCTTGCTTTCATAGTTCAGCTTTCAAACACTCTTTTTGTAGAATCTGCAAGTGGATATTTGGACCACTTTGTGGCCTTCCTTCGAAACGGGTATATCTTCACATCAAACCTAGACAGAAGCATTCTCAGAATGTTTCCTGTGATGACTGCATTCAACTCACAGAGGTGAACAATCCTGCTGATGGACCAGTTTTGAAACTCTCTTTCTTTGGATTCTGCAAGTGGATATGTGGACATCTGTTAAGATTTCGTTGGAAACGGGTTCATCTTCACAGAAAAACTAAACAGGAGCATTCTCAGAAACTGCTTTGTGATGTTTGTGTTCCACTTCAGGAATTGAACTTTCCTCTTGACAGAGCAGCTCTAAAACCCTCTTATTCTAGAATCTGCAAGTGGACATTTGGAGGGCTTTGAGGCCTGTGGTGGAAAAGGAAAATCTTCACATAAAAACTAGATGGAAGCATTCTCAGAAACTACTTTGTGATGATTGCATTCGACTCACAGAGTTGAACATTCCTATAGAGAGAGCAGGTTGTAAACAATGTTTTTGTAGAATCTGCGATTGGAGATTTGGACTGCTTTGAGGCCTACTGTAGTAAAGGAAATAACTTCATCTAAAAACCAAACGGAAGCATTCACAGACAATTCTTAGTGATCATTGCATTGAACTAACAGAGATGAACATTCCTTTAGATGGCGCAGTTTCCAAACACACTTTCTGTAGAATCTGCAAGTGGATATTTGGACATCTCTCAGGATTTCGTTGGAAACGGGATAAACTTCCCAGAACTACACGGAAGCATTCTGAGAAACTTCTTTGTGATGTTTGCATTCAACTCACAGAGTTGAACCTTGCTTTCATAGTTCAGCTTTCAAACACTCTTTTTGTAGAATCTGCAAGTGGATATTTGGACCACTTTGTGGCCTTCCTTCGAAACGGGTATATCTTCACATCAAACCTAGACAGAAGCATTCTCAGAATGTTTCCTGTGATGACTGCATTCAACTCACAGAGGTGAACAATCCTGTTGATGGAGCAGTTTTGAAACTCTCTTTCTTTGGATTCTGCAAGTGGATATGTGGACCTCTGTGAAGATTTCGTTGGAAACGGGTTCATCTTCACAGAAAAACTAAACAGAAGCATTCTCAGAAACTGCTTTGTGATGCTTGTGTTCCACTTCAAGAATTGAACTTTCCTCTTGACAGAGCAGCTCTGAAACCCTCTTTTTCTAGAATCTGCAAGTGGACATTTGCAGGGCTTTGAGGCCTGTGGTGCAAAAGGAAAATCTTCACATAAAAACTAGATGGAAGCATTCTCAGAAACTACTTTGTGATGATTGCATTCGACTCACAGAGTTGAACATTCCTATAGATAGAGCAGGTTGTAAACAATCTTTTTGTAGAATCTGCGATTGGAGATTTGGACTGCTTTGAGGCCTACTGTAGTAAAGGAAATAACTTCATCTAAAAACCAAACGGAAGCATTCACAGACAATTCTTAGTGATCATTGGATTGAACTAACAGAGCTGAACATTCCTTTAGATGGAGCAGTTTCCAAACCCACTTTCTGTAGAATCTGCAAGTGGATATTTGGACTTCTCTGAGGATTTCGTTGGAAACGGGATAAACTTCCCAGAACTACACGGAAGCATTCTGAGAAACTTCTTTGTGATGTTTGCATTCAACTCACAGAGTTGAACCTTGCTTTCATAGTTCAGCTTTCAAACACTCTTTTTGTAGAATCTGCAAGTGGATATTTGGACCACTTTGTGGCCTTCCTTCGAAACGGGTATATCTTCACATCAAACCTAGACAGAAGCATTCTCAGAATGTTTCCTGTGATGACTGCATTCAACTCACAGAGGTGAACAATCCTGCTGATGGAGCAGTTTTGAAACTCCCTTTCTTTGGATTCTGCAAGTGGATATGTGGACCTCTGTGAAGATTTCGTTGGAAACGGGTTCATCTTCACAGAAAAACTAAACAGGAGCATTCTCAGAAACTGCTTTGTGATGTTTGTGTTCCACTTCAGGAATTGAACTTTCCTCTTAACGGAGCAGCTCTGAAACCCTCTTATTCTAGAATCTGCAAGTGGACATTTGGAGGGCTTTGAGGCCTGTGGTGGAAAAGGAAAATCTTCACATAAAAACTAGATGGAAGCATTCTCAGAAACTACTTTGTGATGATTGCATTCGACTCACAGAGTTGAACATTCCTATAGATAGAGCAGGTTGTAAACAATCTTTTTGTAGAATCTGCGATTGGAGATTTGGACTGCTTTGAGGCCTACTGTAGTAAAGGAAATAACTTCATCTAAAAACCAAACGGAAGCATTCACAGACAATTCTTAGTGATCATTGGATTGAACTAACAGAGCTGAACATTCCTTTAGATGGAGCAGTTTCCAAACACACTTTCTGTAGTATCTGCAAGTGGATATTTGGACCTCTCTGAGGATTTCGTTGGAAAAGGGATAAACTTCCCAGAACTACACGGAAAGCATTGTGAGAAACTTCTTTGTGATGTTTGCATTCAACTCACAGAGTTGAACCTTGCTTTCATAGTTCAGCTTTCAAACACTCTTTTTGTGGAATCTGCAAGTGGATATTTGGACCACTTTGTGGCCTTCCTTCGAAACGGGTATATCTTCACATCAAACCTAGACAGAAGCATTCTCAGAATGTTTCCTGTGATGACTGCATTCAACTCACAGAGGTGAACAATCCTGCTGATGGAGCAGTTTTGAAACTCTCTTTCTTTGGATTCTGCAAGTGGATATGTGGACCTCTGTGAAGATTTCGTTGGAAACGGGTTCATCTTCACAGAAAAACTAAACAGAAACATTCTCAGAAACTGCTTTGTGATGTTTGTGTTCCACTTCAAGAATTGAACTTTCCTCTTGACAGAGCAGCTCTGAAACCCTCTTTTTCTAGAATCTGCAAGTGGACATTTGGAGGGCTTTGAGGCCTGTGGTGGAAAAGGAAAATCTTCACATAAAAACTAGATGGAAGCATTCTCAGAAACTACTTTGTGATGATTGCATTCGACTCACAGAGTTGAACATTCCTATAGATAGAGCAGGTTGTAAACAATCTTTTTGTAGAATCTGCGATTGGAGATTTGGACTGCTTTGAGGCCTACTGTAGTAAAGGAAATAACTTCATCTAAAAACCAAACGGAAGCATTCACAGACAATTCTTAGTGATCATTGCATTGAACTAACAGAGCTGAACATTCCTTTAGATGGCGCAGTTTCCAAACACACTTTCTGTAGAATCTGCAAGTGGATATTTGGACTTCTCTGAGGATTTCGTTGGAAACGGGATAAACTTCCCAGAACTACACGGAAGCATTCTGAGAAACTTCTTTGTGATGTTTGCATTCAACTCACAGAGTTGAACCTTGCTTTCATAGTTCAGCTTTCAAACACTCTTTTTGTAGAATCTGCAAGTGGATATTTGGACCACTTTGTGGCCTTCCTTCGAAACGGGTATATCTTCACATCAAACCTAGACAGAAGCATTCTCAGAATGTTTCCTGTGATGACTGCATTCAACTCACAGAGGTGAACAATCCTGTTGATGGAGCAGTTTTGAAACTCTCTTTCTTTGGATTCTGCAAGTGGATATGTGGACCTCTGTGAAGATTTCGTTGGAAACGGGTTCATCTTCACAGAAAAACTAAACAGAAGCATTCTCAGAAACTGCTTTGTGATGTTTGTGTTCCACTTCAGGAATTGAACTTTCCTCTTGACTGAGCAGCTCTGAAACCCTCTTTTTCTAGAATCTGCAAGTGGACATTTGGAGGGCTTTGAGGCCTGTGGTGGAAAAGGAAAATCTTCACATAAAAACTAGATGGAAGCATTCTCAGAAACTACTTTGTGATGATTGCATTCGACTCACAGAGTTGAACATTCCTATAGATAGAGCAGGTTGTAAACAATCTTTTTGTAGAATCTGCGATTGGAGATTTGGACTGCTTTGAGGCCTACTGTAGTAAAGGAAATAACTTCATCTAAAAACCAAACGGAAGCATTCACAGACAATTCTTAGTGATCATTGCATTGAACTAACAGAGCTGAACATTCCTGTAGATGGAGCATTTTCCAAACACACTTTCTGTAGAATCTGCAAGTGGATATTTGGACTTCTCTGAGGATTTCGTTGGAAACGGGATAAACTTCCCAGAACTACACGGAAGTATTCTGAGAAACTTCTTTGTGATGTTTGCATTCAACTCACAGAGTTGAACCTTGCTTTCATAGTTCAGCTTTCAAACACTCTTTTTGTAGAATCTGCAAGTGGATATTTGGACCACTTTGTGGCCTTCCTTCGAAACGGGTATATCTTCACATCAAACCTAGACAGAAGCATTCTCAGAATGTTTCCTGTGATGACTGCATTCAACTCACAGAGGTGAACAATCCTGCTGATGGAGCAGTTTTGAAACTCCCTTTCTTTGGATTCTGCAAGTGGATATGTGGACCTCTGTGAAGATTTCGTTGGAAACGGGTTCATCTTCACAGAAAAACTAAACAGGAGCATTCTCAGAAACTGCTTTGTGATGTTTGTGTTCCACTTCAGGAATTGAACTTTCCTCTTGACAGAGCAGCTCTGAAACCCTCTTATTCTAGAATCTGCAAGTGGACATTTGGAGGGCTTTGAGGCCTGTGGTGGAAAAGGAAAATCTTCACATAAAAACTAGATGGAAGCATTCTCAGAAACTACTTTGTGATGATTGCATTCGACTCACAGAGTTGAACATTCCTATAGATAGAGCAGGTTGTAAACAATCTTTTTGTAGAATCTGCGATTGGAGATTTGGACTGCTTTGAGGCCTACTGTAGTAAAGGAAATAACTTCATCTAAAAACCAAACGGAAGCATTCACAGACAATTCTTAGTGATCATTGGATTGAACTAACAGAGCTGAACATTCCTTTAGATGGAGCAGTTTCCAAACACACTTTCTGTAGAATCTGCAAGTGGATATTTGGACTTCTCTGAGGATTTCGTTGGAAACGGGATAAACTTCCCAGAACTACACGGAAGCATTGTGAGAAACTTCTTTGTGATGTTTGCATTCAACTCACAGAGTTGAACCTTGCTTTCATAGTTCAGCTTTCAAACACTCTTTTTGTAGAATCTGCAAGTGGATATTTGGACCACTTTGTGGCCTTCCTTCGAAACGGGTATATCTTCACATCAAACCTAGACAGAAGCATTCTCAGAATGTTTCCTGTGATGACTGCATTCAACTCACAGAGGTGAACAATCCTGCTGATGGAGCAGTTTTGAAACTCTCTTTCTTTGGATTCTGCAAGTGGATATGTGGACCTCTGTGAAGATTTCGTTGGAAACGGGTTCATCTTCACAGAAAAACTAAACAGAAGCATTCTCAGAAACTGCTTTGTGATGCTTGAGTTCCACTTCAAGAATTGAACTTTCCTCTTGACAGAGCAGCTCTGAAACCCTCTTTTTCTAGAATCTGCAAGTGGACATTTGGAGGGCTTTGAGGCCTGTGGTGGAAAAGGAAAATCTTCACATAAAAACTAGATAGAAGCATTCTCAGAAACTACTTTGTGATGATTGCATTCGACTCACAGAGTTGAACATTCCTATAGATAGAGCAGGTTGTAAACAATGTTTTTGTAGAATCTGCGATTGGAGATTTGGATTGCTTTGAGGCCTACTGTAGTAAAGGAAATAACTTCATCTAAAAACCAAACGGAAGCATTCACAGACAATTCTTAGTGATCATTGGATTGAACTAACAGAGCTGAACATTCCTTTAGATGGAGCAGTTGCCAAACCCACTTTCTGTAGAATCTGCAAGTGGATATTTGGACTTCTCTGAGGATTTCGTTGGAAACGGGATAAACTTCCCAGAACTACACGGAAGCATTGTGAGAAACTTCTTTGTGATGTTTGCATTCAACTCACAGAGTTGAACCTTGCTTTCATAGTTCAGCTTTCAAACACTCTTTTTGTAGAATCTGCAAGTGGATATTTGGACCACTTTGTGGCCTTCCTTTGAAAAGGGTATATCTTCACATCAAACCTAGACAGAAGCATTCTCAGAATGTTTCCTGTGATGACTGCATTCAACTCACAGAGGTGAACAATCCTGCTGATGGAGCAGTTTTGAAACTCTCTTTCTTTGGATTCTGCAAGTGGATATGTGGACCTCTGTGAAGATTTCGTTGGAAACGGGTTCATCTTCACAGAAAAACTAAACAGGAGCATTCTCAGAAACTGCTTTGTGATGTTTGTGTTCCACTTCAAGAATTGAACTTTCCTCTTGACAGAGCAGCTCTGAAACCCTCTTTTTCTAGAATCTGCAAGTGGACATTTGGAGGGCTTTGAGGCCTGTGGTGGAAAAGGAAAATCTTCACATAAAAACTAGATGGAAGCATTCTCAGAAACTACTTTGTGATGATTGCATTCGACTCACAGAGTTGAACATTCCTATAGATAGAGCAGGTTGTAAACAATCTTTTTGTAGAATCTGCGATTGGAGATTTGGACTGCTTTGAGGCCTACTGTAGTAAAGGAAATAACTTCATCTAAAAACCAAACGGAAGCATTCACAGACAATTCTTAGTGATCATTGCATTGAACTAACAGAGCTGAACATTCCTTTAGATGGCGCAGTTTCCAAACACACTTTCTGTAGAATCTGCAAGTGGATATTTGGACCTCTCTGAGGATTTCATTGGAAACGGGATAAACTTCCCAGAACTACACGGAAGCATTGTGAGAAACTTCTTTGTGATGTTTGCATTCAACTCACAGAGTTGAACCTTGCTTTCATAGTTCAGCTTTCAAACACTCTTTTTGTAGAATCTGCAAGTGGATATTTGGACCACTTTGTGGCCTTCCTTCGAAACGGGTATATCTTCACATCAAACCTAGACAGAAGCATTCTCAGAATGTTTCCTGTGATGACTGCATTCAACTCACAGAGGTGAACAATCCTGCTGATGGAGCAGTTTTGAAACTCTCCTTCTTTGGATTCTGCAAGTGGATATGTGGACCTCTGTGAAGATTTCGTTGGAAACGGGTTCATCTTCACAGAAAAACTAAACAGAAGCATACTCAGAAACTGCTTTGTGATGTTTGTGTTCCACTTCAGGAATTGAACTTTCCTCTTGACAGAGCAGCTCTGAAACCCTCTTATTCTAGAATCTGCAAGTGGACATTTGGAGGGCTTTGAGGCCTGTGGTGGAAAAGGAAAATCTTCACATAAAAACTAGATGGAAGCATTCTCAGAAACTACTTTGTGATGATTGCATTCGACTCACAGAGTTGAACATTCCTATAGAGAGACCAGGTTGTAAACAATCTTTTTGTAGAATCTGCGATTAGAGATTTGGACAGCTTTGAGGCCTACTGTAGTAAAGGAAATAACTTCATCTAAAAACCAAACGGAAGCATTCACAGACAATTCTTAGTGATCATTGGATTGAACTAACAGAGCTGAACATTCCTTTAGATGGCGCAGTTTCCAAACACACTTTCTGTAGAATCTGCAACTGGATATTTAGACCTCTCTGAGGATTTCGTTGGAAACAGGATAAACTTCCCAGAACTACACGGAAGCATTCTGAGAAACTTCTCTGTGATGTTTGCATTCAACTCACAGAGTTGAACCTTGGTTTCATAGTTCAGCTTTCAAACACTCTTTTTGTAGAATCTGCAAGTGGATATTTGGACCACTTTGTGGCCTTCCTTCGAAACGGGTATATCTTCACATCAAACCTAGACAGAAGCATTCTCAGAATGTTTCCTGTGATGACTGCATTCAACTCACAGAGGTGAACAATCCTGCTGATGGAGCAGTTTTGAAACTCTCTTTCTTTGGATTCTGCAAGTGGATATGTGGACCTCTGTGAAGATTTCGTTGGAAACGGGTTCATCTTCACAGAAAAACTAAACAGAAGCATTCTCAGAAACTGCTTTGTGATGTTTGTGTTCCACTTCAGGAATTGAACTTTCCTCTTGACAGAGCAGCTCTGAAATCCTCTTATTCTAGAATCTGCAAGTGGACATTTGGAGGGCTTTGAGGCCTGTGGTGGAAAAGGAAAATCTTCACATAAAAACTAGATGGAAGCATTCTCAGAAACTACTTTGTGATGATTGCATTCGACTCACAGAGTTGAACATTCCTAAAGATAGAGCAGGTTGTAAACAATCTTTTTGTAGAATCTGAGATTGGAGATTTGGACTGCTTTGAGGCCTACTGTAGTAAAGGAAATAACTTCATCTAAAAACCAAACGGAAGCATTCACAGACAATTCTTAGTGATCATTGGATTGAACTAACAGAGCTGAACATTCCTTTAGATGGAGCAGTTTCCAAACACACTTTCTGTAGAATCTGCAAGTGGATATTTGGACTTCTCTGAGGATTTCGTTGGAAACGGGATAAACTTCCCAGAACTACACGGAAGCATTGTGAGAAACTTCTTTGTGATGTTTGCATTCAAATCACAGAGTTGAACCTTGCTTTCATAGTTCAGCTTTCAAACACTCTTTTTGTAGAATCTGCAAGTGGATATTTGGACCACTTTGTGGCCTTCCTTCGAAACGGGTATATCTTCACATCAAACCTAGACAGAAGCATTCTCAGAATGTTTCCTGTGATGACTGCATTCAACTCACAGAGGTGAACAATCCTGTTGATGGAGCAGTTTTGAAACTCTCTTTCTTTGGATTCTGCAGGTTGATATGTGGACCTCTGTGAAGATTTCGTTGGAAACGGGTTCATCTTCACAGAAAAACTAAACAGAAGCATTCTCAGAAACTGCTTTGTGATGTTTGCGTTCCACTTCAGGAATTGAACTTTCCTCTTGACAGAGCAGCTCTGAAACCCTCTTATTCTAGAATCTGCAAGTGGACATTTGGAGGGCTTTGAGGCCTGTGGTGGAAAAGGAAAATCTTCACATAAAAACTAGATGGAAGCATTCTCAGAAACTACTTTGTGATGATTGCATTCGACTCACAGAGTTGAACATTCCTATACATAGAGCAGGTTGTAAACAATCTTTTTGTAGAATCTGCGATTGGAGATTTGGACTGCTTTGAGGCCTACTGTAGTAAAGGAAATAACTTCATCTAAAAACCAAACGGAAGCATTCACAGACAATTCTTAGTGATCATTGCATTGAACTAACAGAGCTGAACATTCCTTTAGATGGCGCAGTTTCCAAACACACTTTCTGTAGAATCTGCAAGTGGATATTTGGACCTCTCTGAGGATTTCGTTGGAAAAGGGATAAACTTCCCAGAACTACACGGAAGCATTCTGAGAAACTTCTTTGTGATGTTTGCATTCAACTCACAGAGTTGAACCTTGCTTTCATAGTTCAGCTTTCAAATACTCTTTTTGTAGAATCTGCAAGTGGATATTTGGACCACTATGTGGCCTTCCTTCGAAACGGGTATATCTTCACATCAAACCTAGACAGAAGCATTCTCAGAATGTTTCCTGTGATGACTGCATTCAACTCACAGAGGTGAACAATCCTGCTGATGGAGCAGTTTTCAAACTCTCTTTCTTTGGATTCTGCAAGTGGATATGTGGACCTCTGTGAAGATTTCGTTGGAAACGGGTTCATCGTCACAGAAAAACTAAACAGAAGCATTCTCAGAAACTGCTTTGTTATGTTTGTGTTCCACTTCAGGAATTGAACTTTCCTCTTGACAGAGCAGCTCTGAAACCCTCTTATTCTAGAATCTGCAAGTGGACATTTGGAAGGCTTTGAGGCCTGTGGTGGAAAAGGAAAATCTTCACATAAAAACTAGATGGAAGCATTCTCAGAAACTACTTTGCGATGATTGCATTCGACTCACAGAGTTGAACATTCCTATAGATAGAGCAGGTTGTAAACAATCTTTTTGTAGAATATGCGATTGGAGATTTGGACTGCTTTGAGGCCTACTGTCGTAAAGGAAATAACTTCATGTAAAAACAAAACGGAAGCATTCACAGACAATACTTAGTGATCATTGCATTGAACTAACAGAGCTGAACATTCCTTTAGATGGCGCAGTTTCCAAACACACTTTCTGTAGAATCTGCAAGTGGATATTTGGACCTCTCTGAGGATTTCGTTGGAAAAGGGATAAACTTCCCAGAACTACACGGAAGCATTCTGAGAAACTTCTTTGTGATGTTTGCATTCAACTCACAGAGTTGAAGCTTGCTTTCATAGTTCAGCTTTCAAACACTCTTTTTGTAGAATCTGCAAGTGGATATTTGGACCACTTTGTGGCCTTCCTTCGAAACGGGTATATCTTCACATCAAACCTAGACAGAAGCATTCTCAGAATGTTTCCTGTGATGACTGCATTCAACTCACAGAGGTGAACAATCCTGCTGATGGAGCAGTGTTGAAACTCTCTTTCTTTGGATTCTGCAAGTTGATATGTGGACCTCTGTGAAGATTTCGTTGGAAACGGGTTCATCTTCACAGAAAAACTAAACAGAAGCATTCTCAGAAACTGCTTTGTGATGTTTGTGTTCCACTTCAGGAATTGAACTTTCCTCTTGACAGAGCAGCTCTGAAACCCTCTTATTCTAGAATCTGCAAGTGGACATTTGGAGGGCTTTGAGGCCTGTGGTGGAAAAGGAAAATCTTCACATAAAAACTAGATGGAAGCATTCTCAGAAACTACTTTGTGATGATTGCATTCGACTCACAGAGTTGAACATTCCTATAGATAGAGCAGGTTGTAAACAATGTTTTTGTAGAATCTGCGATTGGAGATTTGGACTGCTTTGAGGCCTACTGTAGTAAAGGAAATAACTTCATCTAAAAACCAAACGGAAGCATTCACAGACAATTCTTAGTGATCATTGGATTGAACTAACAGAGCTGAACATTCCTTTAGATGGAGCAGTTTCCAAACACACTTTCTGTAGAATCTGCAAGTGGATATTTGGACTTCTCTGAGGATTTCGTTGGAAACGGGAAAACTTCCCAGAACTACACGGAAGCATTCTGAGAAACTTCTTTGTGAT
Source organism: Homo sapiens (assembly GCF_000001405.40). Classification (NCBI taxonomy): domain Eukaryota; kingdom Metazoa; phylum Chordata; class Mammalia; order Primates; family Hominidae; genus Homo; species Homo sapiens. The sequence goes on from NC_000011.10 coordinate 52,267,975, forward strand.
GTTTGCATTCAACTCACAGAGTTGAACCTTGCTTTCATAGTTCAGCTTTCAAACACTCTTTTTGTAGAATCTGCAAGTGGATATTTGGACCACTTTGTGGCCTTCCTTCGAAACGGGTATATCTTCACATCAAACCTAGACAGAAGCATTCTCAGAATGTTTCCTGTGATGACTGCATTCAACTCACAGAGGTGAACAATCCTGTTGATGGAGCACTTTTGAAACTCTCTTTCTTTGGATTCTGCAAGTTGATATGTGGACCTCTGTGAAGATTTCGTTGGAAACGGGTTCATCTTCACAGAAAAACTAAACAGAAGCATTCTCAGAAACTACTTTGTGATGTTTGTGTTCCACTTCAAGAATTGAACTTTCCTCTTGACAGAGCAGCTCTGAAACCCTCTTTTTCTAGAATCTGCAAGTGGACATTTGGAGGGCTTTGAGGCCTGTGGTGGAAAAGGAAAATCTTCACATAAAAACTAGATGGAAGCATTCTCAGAAACTACTTTGTGATGATTGCATTCGACTCACAGAGTTGAACATTCCTATACATAGAGCAGGTTGTAAACAATCTTTTTGTAGAATCTGCGATTGGAGATTTGGACTGCTTTGAGGCCTACTGTAGTAAAGGAAATAACTTCATCTAAAAACCAAACGGAAGCATTCACAGACAATTCTTAGTGATCATTGCATTGAACTAACAGAGCTGAACATTCCTTTAGATGGCGCAGTTTCCAAACACACTTTCTGTAGAATCTGCAAGTGGATATTTGGACCTCTCTGAGGATTTCGTTGGAAACGGGATAAACTTCCCAGAACTACACGGAAGCATTGTGAGAAACTTCTTTGTGATGTTTGCATTCAACTCACAGAGTTGAACCTTGCTTTCATAGTTCAGCTTTCAAACACTCTTTTTGTAGAATCTGCAAGTGGATATTTGGACCACTTTGTGGCCTTCCTTTGAAAAGGGTATATCTTCACATCAAACCTAGACAGAAGCATTCTCAGAATGTTTCCTGTGATGACTGCATTCAACTCACAGAGGTGAACAATCCTGCTGATGGAGCAGTTTTGAAACTCTCTTTCTTTGGATTCTGCAAGTGGATATGTGGACCTCTGTGAAGATTTCGTTGGAAACGGGTTCATCTTCACAGAAAAACTAAACAGGAGCATTCTCAGAAACTGCTTTGTGATGTTTGTGTTCCACTTCAACAATTGAACTTTCCTCTTGACAGAGCAGCTCTGAAACCCTCTTTTTCTAGAATCTGCAAGTGGACATTTGGAGGGCTTTGAGGCCTGTGGTGGAAAAGGAAAATCTTCACATAAAAACTAGATGGAAGCATTCTCAGAAACTACTTTGTGTTGATTGCATTCGACTCACAGAGTTGAACATTCCTATAGATAGAGCAGGTTGTAAACAATCTTTTTGTAGAATCTGCGATTGGAGATTTGGACTGCTTTGAGGCCTACTGTAGTAAAGGATATAACTTCATCTAAAAACCAAACGGAAGCATTCACACAAAATTCTTAGTGATCATTGGATTGAACTAACAGAGCTGAAAATTCCTTTAGATGGAGCAGTTTCCAAACCCACTTTCTGTAGAATCTGCAAGTGGATATTTGGACTTCTCTGAGGATTTCGTTGGAAAAGGGATATGCCTCCCAGAAATACAGGGAAGCATTGTGAGAAACTTCTTTGTGATGTTTGCATTCAACTCACAGAGTTGAACCTTGCTTTCATAGTTCAGCTTTCAAACACTCTTTTTGTAGAATCTGCAAGTGGATATTTGGACCACTTTGTGGCCTTCCTTCGAAACGGGTATATCTTCACATCAAACCTAGACAGAAGCATTCTCAGAATGTTTCCTGTGATGACTGCATTCAACTCACAGAGGTGAACAATCCTGTTGATGGGGCACTTTTGAAACTCTCTCTCTTTGGATTCTGCAAGTTGATATGTGGACCTCTGTGAAGATTTCGTTGGAAACGGGTTCATCTTCACAGAAAAACTAAACAGAAGCATTCTCAGAAACTGCTTTGTGATGTTTGTGTTCCACTTCAAGAATTGAACTTTCCTCTTGACAGAGCAGCTCTGAAACCCTCTTTTTCTAGAATCTGCAAGTGGACATTTGGAGGGCTTTGAGGCCTGTGGTGGAAAAGGAAAATCTTCACATAAAAACTAGATGGAAGCATTCTCAGAAACTACTTTGTGATGATTGCATTCGACTCACAGAGTTGAACATTCCTATAGATAGAGCAGGTTGTAAACAATCTTTTTGTAGAATCTGCGATTGGAGATTTGGACTGCTTTGAGGCCTACTGTAGTAAAGGAAATAACTTCATCTAAAAACCAAACGGAAGCATTCACAGACAATTCTTAGTGATCATTGGATTGAACTAACAGAGCTGAACATTCCTTTAGATGGCGCAGTTTCCAAACACACTTTCTGTAGAATCTGCAAGTGGATATTTGGACCTCTCTGAGGATTTCGTTGGAAACGGGATAAACTTCCCAGAACTACACGGAAGCTTTCTGAGAAACTTCTTTGTGATGTTTGCATTCAACTCACAGAGTTGAACCTTGCTTTCATAGTTCAGCTTTGAAACACTCTTTTTGTAGAATCTGCAAGTGGATATTAGGACCACTTTGTGGCCTTCCTTCGAAACGGGTATATCTTCACATCAAACCTAGACAGAAGCATTCTCAGAATGTTTCCTGTGATGACTGCATTCAACTCACAGAGGTGAACAATCCTGCTGATGGACCAGTTTTGAAACTCTCTTTCTTTGGATTCTGCAAGTGGATATGTGGACCTCTGTGAAGATTTCGTTGGAAACGGGTTTATCTTCACAGAAAAACTAAACAGAAGCATTCTCAGAAACTGCTTTGTGATGTTTGTGTTCCACTTCAGGAATTGAACTTTCCTCTTGACAGAGCAGCTCTGAAACCCTCTTATTCTAGAATCTGCAAGTGGACATTTGGAGGGCTTTGAGGCCTGTGGTGGAAAAGGAAAATCTTCACATAAAAACTAGATGGAAGCATTCTCAGAAACTACTTTGTGATGATTGCATTCGACTCACAGAGTTGAACATTCCTATAGATAGAGCAGGTTGTAAACAATCTTTTTGTAGAATCTGCGATTGGAGATTTGGACTGCTTTGAGGCCTACTGTAGTAAAGGAAATAACTTCATCTAAAAACCAAACGGAAGCATTCACAGACAATTCTGAGTGATCATTGGATTGAACTAACAGAGCTGAACATTCCTTTAGATGGAGCAGTTTCCAAACACACTTTCTGTAGAATCTGCAAGTGGATATTTGGACCTCTCTGAGGATTTCGTTGGAAACGGGATAAACTTCCCAGAACTACACGGAAGCATTCTGAGAAAATTCTTTGTGATGTTTGCATTCAACTCACAGAGTTGAACCTTGCTTTCATAGTTCAGCTTTCAAACACTCTTTTTGTAGAATCTGCAAGTGGATATTTGGACCACTTTGTGGCCTTCCTTCGAAACGGGTATATCTTCACATCAAACCTAGACAGAAGCATTCCCAGAATGTTTCCTGTGATGACTGCATTCAACTCACAGAGGTGAACAATCCTGTTGATGGAGCAGTTTTGAAACTCTCTTTCTTTGGATTCTGCAAGTGGATATGTGGACCTCTGTGAAGATTTCGTTGGAAACGGGTTCATCTTCACAGAAAAACTAAACAGGAGCATTCTCAGAAACTGCTTTGTGATGTTTGTGTTCCACTTCAGGAATTGAACTTTCCTCTTGACAGAGCAGCTCTGAAACCCTCTTTTTCTAGAATCTGCAAGTGGACATTTGGAGGGCTTTGAGGCCTGTGGTGGAAAAGGAAAATCTTCACATAAAAACTAGATGGAAGCATTCTCAGAAACTACTTTGTGATGATTGCATTCGACTCACAGAGTTGAACATTCCTATAGATAGAGCAGGTTGTAAACAATCTTTTTGTAGAATCTGCGATTGGAGATTTGGACTGCTTTGAGGCCTACTGTAGTAAAGGAAATAACTTCATCTAAAAACCAAACGGAAGCATTCACAGACAATTCTTAGTGATCATTGCATTGAACTAACAGAGCTGAACATTCCTTTAGATGGCGCAGTTTCCAAACACACTTTCTGTAGAATCTGCAAGTGGATATTTGGACCTCTCTGAGGATTTCGTTGGAAATGGGATAAACTTCCCAGAACTACACGGAAGCATTGTGAGAAACTTCTTTGTGATGTTTGCATTTAACTCACAGAGTTGAACCTTGCTTTCATAGTTCAGCTTTCAAACACTCTTTTTGTAGAATCTGCAAGTGGATATTTGGACCATTTTTGGCCTTCCTTCGAAACGGGTATATCTTCACATCAAACCTAGACAGAAGCATTCTCAGAATGTTTCCTGTGATGACTGCATTCAACTCACAGAGGTGAACAATCCTGCTGATGGAGCAGTTTTGAAACTCTCTTTCTTTGGATTCTGCAAGTGGATATGTGGACCTCTGTGAAGATTTCGTTGGAAACGGGTTCATCTTCACAGAAAAACTAAACAGAAGCATTCTCAGAAACTGCTTTGTGATGTTTGTGTTCCACTTCAGGAATTGAACTTTCCTCTTGACAGAGCAGCTCTGAAACCCTCTTATTCTAGAATCTGCAAGTGGACATTTGGAGGGCTTTGAGGCCTGTGGTGGAAAAGGAAAATCTTCACATAAAAACTAGATGGAAGCATTCTCAGAAACTACTTTGTGATGATTGCATTCGACTCACAGAGTTGAACATTCCTATAGATAGAGCAGGTTGTAAACAATCTTTTTGTAGAATCTGCGATTGGAGATTTGGACTGCTTTGAGGCCTACTGTAGTAAAGGAAATAACTTCATCTAAAAACCAAACGGAAGCATTCACAGAAAATTCTTAGTGATCATTGGATTGAACTAACAGAGCTGAACATTCCTTTAGATGGCACAGTTTCCAAACACACTTTCTGTAGAATCTGCAAGTGGATATTTGGACCTCTCTGAGGATTTCGTTGGAAAAGGGCTAAACTTCCCAGAACTACACGGAAGCATGCTGAGAAACATCTTTGTGATGTTTGCATTCAACTCACAGAGTTGAACCTTGCTTTCATAGTTCAGCTTTCAAACACTCTTTTTGTAGAATCTGCAAGTGGATATTTGGACCACTTTGTGGCCTTCCTTCGAAACGGGTATATCTTCACATCAAACCTAGACAGAAGCATTCTCAGAATGTTTCCTGTGATGACTGCATTCAACTCACAGAGGTGAACAATCCTGCTGATGGAGCAGTGTTGAAACTCTCTTTCTTTGGATTCTGCAAGTGGATATGTGGACCTCTGTGAAGATTTCGTTGGAAACGGGTTCATCTTCACAGAAAAACTAAACAGGAGCATTCTCAGAAACTGCTTTGTGATGTTTGTGTTCCACTTCAGGAATTGAACTTTCCTCTTGACAGAGCAGCTCTGAAACCCTCTTTTTCCAGAATCTGCAAGTGGACATTTGAAGGGCTTTGAGGCCTGTGGTGGAAAAGGAAAATCTTCACATAAAAACTAGATGGAAGCATTCTCAGAAACTACTTTGTGATGATTGCATTCGACTCACAGAGTTGAACATTCCTATAGATAGAGCAGGTTGTAAACAATCTTTTTGTAGAATCTGCGATTGGAGATTTGGACTGCTTTGAGGCCTACTGTAGTAAAGGAAATAACTTCATCTAAAAACCAAACGGAAGCATTCACAGACAATTCTTAGTGATCATTGGATTGAACTAACAGAGCTGAACATTCCTTTAGATGGAGCAGTTTCCAAACACACTTTCTGTAGAATCTGCAAGTGGATATTTGGACTTCTCTGAGGATGTCGTTGGAAACGGGATAAACTTCCCAGAACTACACGGAAGCATTGTGAGAAACTTCTTTGTGATGTTTGCATTCAACTCACAGAGTTGAACCTTGCTTTCATAGTTCAGCTTTCAAACACTCTTTTTGTAGAATCTGCAAGTGGATATTTGGACCACTTTGTGGCCTTCCTTCGAAACGGGTATATCTTCACATCAAACCTAGACAGAAGCATTCTCAGAATGTTTCCTGTGATGACTGCATTCAACTCACAGAGGTGAACAATCCTGCTGATGGAGCAGTTTTGAAACTCTCTTTCTTTGGATTCTGCAAGTGGATATGTGGACCTCTGTGAAGATTTCGTTGGAAACGGGTTCATCTTCACAGAAAAACTAAACAGGAGCATTCTCAGAAACTGCTTTGTGATGTTTGTGTTCCACTTCAAGAATTGAACTTTCCTCTTGACAGAGCAGCTCTGAAACCCTCTTTTTCTAGAATCTGCAAGTGGACATTTGGAGGGCTTTGAGGCCTGTGGTGGAAAAGGAAAATCTTCACATAAAAACTAGATGGAAGCATTCTCAGAAACTACTTTGTGATGATTGCATTCGACTCACAGAGTTGAACATTCCTATAGATAGAGCAGGTTGTAAACAATCTTTTTGTAGAATCTGCGATTGGAGATTTGGACTGCTTTGAGGCCTACTGCAGTAAAGGAAATAACTTCATCTAAAAACCAAACGGAAGCATTCACAGACAATTCTTAGTGATCATTGCATTGAACTAACAGAGCTGAACATTCCTTTAGATGGCGCAGTTTCCAAACACACTTTCTGTAGAATCTGCAAGTGGATATTTGGACCTCTCTGAGGATTTCGTTGGAAACGGGATAAACTTCCCAGAACTACACGGAAGCATTGTGAGAAACTTCTTTGTGATGTTTGCATTCAACTCACAGAGTTGAACCTTGCTTTCATAGTTCAGCTTTCAAACACTCTTTTTGTAGAATCTGCAAGTGGATATTTGGACCACTTTGTGGCCTTCCTTCGAAACGGGTATATCTTCACATCAAACCTAGACAGAAGCATTCTCAGAATGTTTCCTGTTGATGACTGCATTCAACTCACAGAGGTGAACAATCCTGTTGATGGAGCACTTTTGAAACTCTCTTTCTTTGGATTCTGCAAGTTGATATGTGGACCTCTGTGAAGATTTCGTTGGAAACGGGTTCATCTTCACAGAAAAACTAAACAGAAGCATTCTCAGAAACTGCTTTGTGATGTTTGTGTTCCACTTCAGGAATTGAACTTTCCTCTTGACAGAGCAGCTCTAAAACCCTCTTATTCTAGAATCTGCAAGTGGACATTTGGAGGGCTTTGAGGCCTGTGGTGGAAAAGGAAAATCTTCACATAAAAACTAGATGGAAGCATTCTCAGAAACTACTTTGGGATGATTGCATTCGACTCACAGAGTTGAACATTCCTATAGATAGAGCAGGTTGTAAACAATCTTTTTGTAGAATCTGCGATTGGAGATTTGGACTGCTTTGAGGCCTACTGTAGTAAAGGAAATAACTTCATCTAAAAACCAAACGGAAGCATTCACAGACAATTCTTAGTGATCATTGGATTGAACTAACAGAGCTGAACATTCCTTTAGATGGAGCAGTTTCCAAACACACTTTCTGTAGAATCTGCAAGTGGATATTTGGACTTCTCTGAGGATTTCGTTGGAAACGGGATAAACTTCCCAGAACTACACGGAAGCATTGTGAGAAACTTCTTTGTGATGTTTGCATTCAACTCACAGAGTTGAACCTTGCTTTCATAGTTCAGCTTTCAAACACTCTTTTTGTAGAATCTGCAAGTGGATATTTGGACCACTTTGTGGCCTTCCTTCGAAACGGGTATATCTTCACATCAAACCTAGACAGAAGCATTCTCAGAATGTTTCCTGTGATGACTGCATTCAACTCACAGAGGTGAACAATCCTGCTGATGGAGCAGTTTTGAAACTCTCTTTCTTTGGATTCTGCAAGTGGATATGCGGACCTCTGTGAAGATTTCGTTGGAAACGGGTTCATCTTCACAGAAAAACTAAACAGGAGCATTCTCTGATACTGCTTTGTGATGTTTGTGTTCCACTTCAAGAATTGAACTTTCCTCTTGACAGAGCAGCTCTGAAACCCTCTTTTTCTAGAATCTGCAAGTGGACATTTGGAGGGCTTTGAGTCCTGGGGTGGAAAAGGAAAATCTTCACATAAAAACTAGATGGAAGCATTCTCAGAAACTCCTTTGTGATGATTGCATTCGACTCACAGAGTTGAACATTCCTATAGATAGAGCAGGTTGTAAACAATCTTTTTGTAGAATCTGCGATTGGAGATTTGGACTGCTTTGAGGCCTACTGTAGTAAAGGAAATAACTTCATCTAAAAACCAAACGGAAGCATTCACAGACAATTCTTAGTGATCATTGCATTGAACTAACAGAGCTGAACATTCCTTTAGATGGCGCAGTTTCCAAACACACTTTCTGTAGAGTCTGCAAGTGGATATTTGGACCTCTCTGAGGATTTCGTTGGAAACGGGATAAACTTCCCAGAACTACACGGAAGCATTGTGTGAAACTTCTTTGTGATGTTTGCATTCAACTCACAGAGTTGAACCTTGCTTTCATAGTTCAGCTTTCAAACACTCTTTTTGTAGAATCTGCAAGTGGATATTTGGACCACTTTGTGGCCTTCCTTCGAAACGGGTATATCTTCACATCAAACCTAGACAGAAGCATTCTCAGAATGTTTCCTGTGATGACTGCATTCAACTCACAGAGGTGAACAATCCTGCTGATGGAGGAGTTTTGAAACTCTCTTTCTTTGGATTCTGCAAGTGGATATGTGGACCTCTGTGAAGATTTCGTTGGAAACGGGTTCATCTTCACAGAAAAATTAAACAGGAGCATTCTCAGAAACTGCTTTGTGATATTTGTGTTCCACTTCAAGAATTGAACTTTCCTCTTGACAGAGCAGCTCTGAAACCCTCTTTTTCTAGAATCTGCAAGTGGACATTTGGAGGGCTTTGAGGCCTGTGGTGGAAAAGGAAAATCTTCACATAAAAACTAGATGGAAGCATTCTCAGAAACTACTTTGTGATGATTGCATTCGACTCACAGAGTTGAACATTCCTATAGATAGAGCAGGTTGTAAACAATCTTTTTGTAGAATCTGCGATTGGAGATTTGGACTGCTTTGAGGCCTACTGTAGTAAAGGAAATAACTTCATCTAAAAACCAAACGGAAGCATTCACAGACAATTCTTAGTGATCATTGCATTGAACTAACAGAGCTGAACATTCCTTTAGATGGCGCAGTTTCCAAACACACTTTCTGTAGAATCTGCAAGTGGATATTTGGACCTCTCTGAGGATTTCGTTGGAAACGGGATAAACTTCCCAGAACTACACGGAAGCATTGTGAGAAACTTCTTTGTGATATTTGCATTCAACTCACAGAGTTGAACCTTGCTTTCATAGTTCAGCTTTCAAACACTCTTTTTGTAGAATCTGCAAGTGGATATTTGGACCACTTTGTGGCCTTCCTTCGAAACGGGTATATCTTCACATCAAACCTAGACAGAAGCATTCTCAGAATGTTTCCTGTGATGACTGCATTCAACTCACAGAGGTGAACAATCCTGCTGATGGAGCAGTTTTGAAACTCTCTTTCTTTGGATTCTGCAAGTGGATATGTGGACCTCTGTGAAGATTTCGTTGGAAACGGGTTCATCTTCACAGAAAAACTAAACAGAAACATTCTCAGAAACTGCTTTGTGATGTTTGTGTTCCACTTCAGGAATTGAACTTTCCTCTTGACAGAGCAGCTCTGAAACCCTCTTATTCCACAATCTGCAAGTGGACATTTGGAGGGCTGTGAGGCCTGTGGTGGAAAAGGAAAATCTTCACATAAAAACTAGATGGAAGCATTCTCAGAAACTACTTTGTGATGATTGCATTCGACTCACAGAGTTGAACATTCCTATAGATAGAGCAGGTTGTAAACAATCTTTTTGTAGAATCTGCGATTGGAGATTTGGACTGCTTTGAGGCCTACTGTAGTAAAGGAAATAACTTCATCTAAAAACCAAACGGAAGCATTCACAGACAATTCTTAGTGATCATTGCATTGAACTAACAGAGCTGAACATTCCTTTAGATGGCGCAGTTTCCAAACACACTTTCTGTAGAATCTGCAAGTGGATATTTGGACCTCTCTGAGGATTTCGTTGGAAACGGGATAAACTTCCCAGAACTACACGTAAGCATTGTGAGAAACTTCTTTGTGATGTTTGCATTCAACTCACAGAGTTGAACCTTGCTTTCATAGTTCAGCTTTCAAACACTCTTTTTGTAGAATCTGCAAGTGGATATTTGGACCACTTTGTGGCCTTCCTTCGAAACGGGTATATCTTCACATCAAACCTAGACAGAAGCATTCTCAGAATGTTTCCTGTGATGACTGCATTCAACTCACAGAGGTGAACAATCCTGCTGATGGAGCAGTTTTGAAACTCTCTTTCTTTGGATTCTGCAAGTGGATATGTGGACCTCTGTGAAGATTTCGTTGGAAACGGGTTCATCTTCACAGAAAAACTAAACAGGAGCATTCTCAGAAACTGGTTTGTGATGTTTGTGTTCCACTTCAAGAATTGAACTTTCCTCTTGACAGAGCAGCTCTGAAACCCTCTTTTTCTAGAATCTGCAAGTGGACATTTGGAGGGCTTTGAGGCCTGTGGTGGAAAAGGAAAATCTTCACATAAAAACTAGATGGAAGCCTTCTCAGAAACTACTTTGTGATGATTGCATTCGACTCACAGAGTTGAACATTCCTATAGATAGAGCAGGTTGTAAACAATCTTTTTGTAGAATCTGCGATTGGAGATTTGGACTGCTTTGAGGCCTACTGTAGTAAAGGAAATAACTTCATCTAAAAACCAAACGGAAGCATTCACAGACAATTCTTAGTGATCATTGGATTGAACTAACAGAGCTGAACATTCCTTTAGATGGAGGAGTTTCCAAACACTCTTTCTGTAGAATCTGCAAGTGGATATTTGGACCTCTCTGAGGATTTCGTTGGAAACAGGATAAACTTCCCAGAACTACACGGAAGCATTCTGAGAAACTTCCTTGTGATGTTTGCATTCAACTCACAGAGTTGAACCTTGCATTCATAGTTCAGCTTTCAAACACTCTTTTTGTAGAATCTGCAAGTGGATATTTGGACCACTTTGTGGCCTTCCTTCGAAACGGGTATATCTTCACATCAAACCTAGACAGAAGCATTCTCAGAATGTTTCCTGTGATGACTGCATTCAACTCACAGAGGTGAACAATCCTGTTGATGGAGCAGTTTTGAAACTCTCTTTCTTTGGATTCTGCAAGTGGATATGTGGACCTACTGTGAAGATTTCGTTGGAAACGGGTTCATCTTCACAGAAAAACTAAACAGGAGCATTCTCAGAAACTGCTTTGTGATGTTTGTGTTCCACTTCAGGACTTGAACTTTCCTCTTGACAGAGCAGCTCTGAAACCCTCTTATTCTAGAATCTGCAAGTGGACATTTGGAGGGCTTTGAGGCCTGTGGTGGAAAAGGAAAATCTTCACATAAAAACTAGATGGAAGCATTCTCAGAAACTACTTTGTGATGATTGCATTCGACTCACAGAGTTGAACATTCCTATAGATAGAGCAGGTTGTAAACAATCTTTTTGTAGAATCTGCGATTGGAGATTTGGACTGCTTTGAGGCCTACTGTAGTAAAGGAAATAACTTCATCTAAAAACCAAACGGAAGCATTCACAGATAATTCTTAGTGATATTGGATTGAACTAACAGAGCTGAACACTCCTTTAGATGGAGCAGTTTCCAAACACACTTTCTGTAGAATCTGCAAGTGGATATTTGGACTTCTCTGAGGATTTCGTTGGAAACGGGATAAACTTCCCAGAACTACACGGAAGCATTCTGAGAAACTTCTTTGTGATGTTTGCATTCAACTCACCGAGTTGAACCTTGCTTTCATAGTTCAGCTTTCAAACACTCTTTTTGTAGAATCTGCAAGTGGATATTTGGACCACTTTGTGGCCTTCCTTCGAAACGGGTATATCTTCACATCAAACCTAGACAGAAGCATTCTCAGAATGTTTCCTGTGATGACTGCATTCAACTCACAGAGGTGAACAATCCTGTTGATGGAGCACTTTTGAAACTCTCTTTCTTTGGATTCTGCAAGTTGATATGTGGACCTCTGTGAAGATTTCGTTGGAAACGGGTTCATCTTCACAGAAAAACTAAACAGAAGCATTCTCAGAAACTGCTTTGTGATTTTTGTGTTCCACTTCAGGAATTGAACTTTCCTCTTGACAGAGCAGCTCTGAAACCCTCTTATTCTAGAATCTGCAAGTGGACATTTGGAGGGCTTTGAGGCCAGTGGTGGAAAAGGAAAATCTTCACATAAAAACTAGATGGAAGCATTCTCAGAAACTACTTTGCGATGATTGCATTCGACTCAAAGAGTTGAACATTCCTATAGATAGAGCAGGTTGTAAACAATCTTTTTGTAGAATCTGCGATTGGAGATTTGGACTGCTTTGAGGCCTACTGTAGTAAAGGAAATAACTTCATCTAAAAACCAAACGGAAGCATTCGCAGACAATTCTTAGTGATCATTGGATTGAACTAACAGAGCTGAACATTCCTTTAGACGGAGCAGTTTCCAAACACACTTTCTGTAGAATCTGCAAGTGGATATTTGGACCTCTCTGAGGATTTCGTTGGAAAAGGGATAAACTTCCCAGAACTACACGGAAGCATTCTGAGAAACTTCTTTGTGATGTTTGCATTCAACTCACAGAGTTGAACATTGCTTTCATAGTTCAGCTTTCAAACACTCTTTTTGTAGGATCTGCAAGTGGATATTTGACCACTTTGTGGCCTTCCTTCGAAACGGGTATATCTTCACATCAAACCTAGACAGAAGCATTCTCAGAATGTTTCCTGTGATGACTGCATTCAACTCACAGAGTTGAACAATCCTGCTGATGGAGCAGTTTTGAAACTCTCTTTCTTTGGATTCTGCAAGTGGATATGTGGACCTCTGTGAAGATTTCGTTGGAAACGGGTTCATCTTCACAGAAAAACTAAACAGGAGCATTCCCAGAAACTGCTTTGTGATGTTTGTGTTCCACTTCAGGAATTGAACTTTCCTCTTGACAGAGCAGCTCTGAAACCCTCTTTTTCTAGAATCTGCAAGTGGACATTTGGAGGGCTTTTAGGCCTGTGGTGGAAAAGGAAAATCTTCACATAAAAACTAGATGGAAGCATTCTCAGAAACTACTTTGTGATGATTGCATTCGACTCACAGAGTTGAACATTCCTATAGATAGAGCAGGTTGTAAACAATCTTTTTGTAGAATCTGCGATTGGAGATTTGGACTGCTTTGAGGCCTACTGTAGTAAAGGAAATAACTTCATCTAAAAACCAAACGGAAGCATTCACAGACAATTCTTAGTGATCATTGGATTGAAGTAACAGAGCTGAACATTCCTTTAGATGGAGCAGTTTCCAAACACACTTTCTGTAGAATCTGCAAGTGGATATTTGGACCTCTCTGAGGATTTCGTTGGAAAAGGGATAAACTTCCCAGAACTACACGGAAGCATTCTGAGAAACTTCTTTGTGATGTTTGCATTCAACTCACAGAGTTGAACCTTGCTTTCATGGTTCAGCTTTCAAACACTCTTTTTGTAGGATCTGCAAGTGGATATTTGACCACTTTGTGGCCTTCCTTCGAAACGGGTATATCTTCACATCAAACCTAGACAGAAGCATTCTCAGAATGTTTTCTGTGATAACTGCATTCAACTCACAGAGGTGAACAATCCTGCTGATGGAGCAGTTTTGAAACTCTCTTTCTTTGGATTCTGCAAGTGGATATGTGGACCTCTGTGAAGATTTCGTTGGAAACGGGTTCATCTTCACAGAAAAACTAAACAGGAGCATTCTCAGAAACTGCTTTGTGATGTTTGTGTTCCACTTCAGGAATTGAACTTTCCTCTTGACAGAGCAGCTCTGAAACCCTCTTATTCTAGAATCTGCAAGTGGACATTTGGAGGGCTTTGAGGCCTGTGGTGGAAAAGGAAAATCTTCACATAAAAACTAGATGGAAGCATTCTCAGAAACTACTTTGTGATGATTGCATTCGACTCACAGAGTTGAACATTCCTATAGATAGAGCAGGTTGTAAACAATCTTTTTGTAGAATCTGCGATTGGAGATTTGGACTGCTTTGAGGCCTACTGTAGTAAAGGAAATAACTTCATCTAAAAACCAAACGGAAGCATTCACAGACAATTCTTAGTGATCATTGGATTGAACTGACAGAGCTGAACATTCCTTTAGATGGAGCAGTTTCCAAACACACTTTCTGTAGAATCTGCAAGTGGATATTTGGACTTCTCTGAGGATTTCGTTGGAAACGGGATAAACTTCCCAGAACTACACGGAAGCATGCTGAGAAACTTCTTTGTGATGTTTGCATTCCACTCACAGAGTTGAACCTTGCTTTCATAGTTCAGCTTTCAAACACTCTTTTTGTAGAATCTGCAAGTGGATATTTGGACCACTTTGTGGCCTTCCTTCGAAACGGGTATATCTTCACATCAAACCTAGACAGAAGCATTCTCAGAATGTTTCCTGTGATGACTGCATTCAACTCACAGAGGTGAACAATCCTGTTGATGAAGCACTTTTGAAACTCTCTTTCTTTGGATTCTGCAAGTTGATATGTGGACCTCTGTGAAGATTTCGTTGGAAACGGGTTCATCTTCACAGAAAAACTAAACAGAAGCATTCTCAGAAACTGCTTTGTGATGTTTGTGTTCCACTTCAAGAATTGAACTTTCCTCTTGACAGAGCAGCTCTGAAACCCTCTTTTTCTAGAATCTGCAAGTGGACATTTGGAGGGCTTTGAGGCCTGTGGTGGAAAAGGAAAATCTTCACATAAAAACTAGATGGAAGCATTCTCAGAAACTACTTTGTGATGATTGCATTCGACTCACAGAGTTGAACATTCCTATAGATAGAGCAGGTTGTAAACAATCTTTTTGTAGAATCTGCGATTGGAGATTTGGACTGCTTTGAGGCCTACTGTAGTAAAGGAAATAACTTCATCTAAAAACCAAACGGAAGCATTCACAGACAATTCTTAGTGATCATTGCATTGAACTAACAGAGCTGAACATTGCTTTAGACGGCGCAGTTTCCAAACACACTTTCTGTAGAATCTGCAAGTGGATATTTGGACTTCTCTGAGGATTTCATTGGAAACGGGATAAACTTCCCAGAACTACACGGAAGCATGCTGAGAAACTTCTTTGTGATGTTTGCATTCAACTCACAGAGTTGAACCTTGCTTTCATAGTTCAGCTTTCAAACACTCTTTTTGTAGAATCTGCAAGTGGATATTTGGACCACTTTGTGGCCTTCCTTCGAAACGGGTATATCTTCACATCAAACCTAGACAGAAGCATTCTCAGAATGTTTCCTGTGATGACTGCATTCAACTCACAGAGGTGAACAATCCTGCTGATGGAGCAGTTTTGAAACTCTCTTTCTTTGGATTCTGCAAGTGGATATGTGGACCTCTGTGAAGATTTCGTTGGAAACGGGTTCATCATCACAGAAAAACTAAACAGGAGCATTCTCAGAAACTGCTTTGTGATGTTTGTGTTCCACTTCAGGAATTGAACTTTCCTCTTGACAGAGCAGCTCTGAAACCCTCTTTTTCTAGAATCTGCAAGTGGACATTTGGGAGGGCTTTGAGGCCTGTGGTGGAAAAGGAAAATCTTCACATAAAAACTAGATGGAAGCATTCTCAGAAACTACTTTGTGATGATTGCATTCGACTCAGAGAGTTGAACATTCCTATAGATAGAGCAGGTTGTAAACAATCTTTTTGTAGAATCTGCGATTGGAGATTTGGACTGCTTTGAGGCCTACTGTAGTAAAGGAAATAACTTCATCTAAAAACCAAACGGAAGCATTCACAGACAATTCTTAGTGATCATTGGATTGAACTAACAGAGCTGAACATTCCTTTAGATGGAGCAGTTTCCAAACACACTTTCTCTAGAATCTGCAACTAGATATTTGGACTTCTCTGAGGATTTCGTTGGAAACGGGATAAACTTCCCAGAACTACACGGAAGAATTGTGAGAAACTTCTTTGTGATGTTTGCATTCAACTCACAGTGTTGAACCTTGCTTTCATAGTTCAGCTTTCAAACACTCTTTTTGTAGAATCTGCAAGTGGATATTTGGACCACATTTGGCCTTCCTTCCAAACGGGTATATCTTCACATCAAACCTAGACAGAAGCATTCTCAGAATGTTTCCTGTGATGACTGCATTCAACTCACAGAGGTGAACAATCCTGCTGATGGAGCAGTTTTGAAACTCTCTTTCTTTGGATTCTGCAAGTGGATATGTGGACCTCTGTGAAGATTTCGTTGGAAACGGGTTCATCTTCACAGAAAAACTAAACAGAAACATTCTCAGAAACTGCTTTGTGATGTTTGTGTTCCACTTCAGGAATTGAACTTTCCTCTTGACAGAGCAGCTCTGAAATCCTCTTATTCTAGAATCTGCAAGTGGACATTTGGAGGGCTTTGAGGCCTGTGGTGGAAAAGGAAAATCTTCACATAAAAACTAGATGGAAGCATTCTCAGAAACTACTTTGTGATGATTGCATTCGACTCACAGAGTTGAACATTCCTATAGATAGAGCAGGTTGTAAACAATCTTTTTGTAGAATCTGCGATTGGAGATTTGGACTGCTTTGAGGCCTACTGTAGTAAAGGAAATAACTTCATCTAAAAACCAAACGGAAGCATTCACAGACAATTCTTAGTGATCATTGCATTGAACTAACAGAGCTGAACATTCCTTTAGATGGCGCAGTTTCCAAACACACTTTCTGTAGAATCTGCAAGTGGATATTTGGACCTCTCTGAGGATTTCGTTGGAAACGGGATAAACTTCCCAGAACTACACGGAAGCATTGTGAGAAACTTCTTTGTGATGTTTGCATTCAACTCACAGAGTTGAACCTTGCTTTCATAGTTCAGCTTTCAAACACTCTTTTTGTAGAATCTGCAAGTGGATATTTGGACCACTTTGTGGCCTTCCTTCGAAACGGGTATATCTTCACATCAAACCTAGACAGAAGCATTCTCAGAATGTTTCCTGTGATGACTGCATTCAACTCACAGAGGTGAACAATCCTGCTGATGGAGCAGTTTTGAAACTCTCTTTCTTTGGATTCTGCATGTGGATATGTGGACCTCTGTGAAGATTTCGTTGGAAACGGGTTCATCTTCACAGAAAAACTAAACAGAAGCATTCTCAGAAACTGCTTTGTGATGTTTGTGTTCCACTTCAAGAAATTGAACTTTCCTCTTGACAGAGCAGCTCTGAAACCCTCTTTTTCTAGAATCTGCAAGTGGACATTTGGAGGGCTTTGAGGCCTGTGGTGGAAAAGGAAAATCTTCACATAAAAACTAGATGGAAGCATTCTCAGAAACTACTTTGTGATGATTGCATTCGACTCACAGAGTTGAACATTCCTATAGATAGAGCAGGTTGTAAACAATCTTTTTGTAGAATCTGCGATTGGAGATTTGGACTGCTTTGAGGCCTACTGTAGTAAAGGAAATAACTTCATCTAAAAACCAAACGGAAGCATTCACAGACAATTCTTAGTGATCATTGGATTGAACTAACAGAGCTGAACATTCCTTTAGATGGAGCAGTTTCCAAACCCACTTTCTGTAGAATCTGCAAGTGGATATTTGGACTTCTCTGAGGATTTCTTTGGAAACGGGATAAAGTTCCCAGAACTACACGGAAGCATTCTGAGAAACTTCTTTGTGATGTTTGCATTCAACTCACAGAGTTGAACCTTGCTTTCATAGTTCAGCTTTCAAACACTCTTTTCGTAGAATCTGCAAGTGGATATTTGGACCACTTTGTGGCCTTCCTTCGAAACGGGTATATCTTCACATCAAAGCTAGACAGAAGCATTCTCAGAATGTTTCCTGTGATGACTGCATTCAACTCACAGAGGTGAACAATCCTGCTGATGGAGCAGTTTTGAAACTCTCTTTCTTTGGATTCTGCAAGTGGATATGTGGACCTCTGTGAAGATTTCGTTGGAAAAGTGTTCATCTTCACAGAAAAACTAAACAGGAGCATTCTTAGAAACTGCTTTGTGATGTTTGTGTTCCACTTCAGGAATTGAACTTTCCTCTTGACAGAGCAGCTCTGAAACCCTCTTTTTCTAGAATCTGCAAGTGGACATTTGGAGGGCTTTGAGGCCTGTGGTGGAAAAGGAAAATCTTCACATAAAAACTAGATGGAAGCATTCTCAGAAACTACTTTGTGATGATTGCATTCGACTCACAGAGTTGAACATTCCTATAGATAGAGCAGGTTGTAAACAATCTTTTTGTAGAATCTGCGATTGGAGATTTGGACTGCTTTGAGGCCTACTGTAGTAAAGGAAATAACTTCATCTAAAAAGCAAACGGAAGCATTCACAGACAATTCTTAGTGATCATTGCATTGAACTAACAGAGCTGAACATTGCTTTAGACGGCGCAGTTTCCAAACACACTTTCTGTAGAATCTGCAAGTGGATATTTGGACTTCTCTGAGGATTTCGTTGGAAACGGGATAAACTTCCCAGAACTACACGGAAGTATTCTGAGAAACTTCTTTGTGATGTTTGCATTCAACTCACAGAGTTGAACCTTGCTTTCATAGTTCAGCTTTCAAACACTCTTTTTGTAGAATCTGCAAGTGGATATTTGGACCACTTTGTGGCCTTCCTTCGAAACGGGTATATCTTCACATCAAACCTAGACAGAAGCATTCTCAGAATGTTTCCTGTGATGACTGCATTCAACTCACAGAGGTGAACAATCCTGCTGATGGACCAGTTTTGAAACTCTCTTTCTTTGGATTCTGCAAGTGGATATGTGGACCTCTGTGAAGATTTCGTTGGAAACGGGTTTATCTTCACAGAAAAACTAAACAGAAGCATTCTCAGAAACTGCTTTGTGATGTTTGTGTTCCACTTCAAGAATTGAACTTTCCTCTTGACAGAGCAGCTCTGAAACCCTCTTTTTCTAGAATCTGCAAGTGGACATTTGGAGGGCTTTGAGGCCTGTGGTGGAAAAGGAAATATCTTCACATAAAACCTTGATAGAAGCATTCTCAGAAACTACTTTGTGATGATTGCATTCGACTCACAGAGTTGAACATTCCTATAGATAGAGCAGGTTGTAAACAATCTTTTTGTAGAATCTGCGATTGGAGATTTGGACTGCTTTGAGGCCTACTGTAGTAAAGGAAATAACTTCATCTAAAAACCAAACGGAAGCATTCACAGACAATTCTTAGTGATCATTGCATTGAACAAACAGAGCTGAACATTGCTTTAGATGGCGCAGTTTCCAAACCCACTTTCTGTAGAATCTGCAAGTGGATATTTGGACCTCTCTGAGGATTTCGTTGGAAACGGGATAAACTTCCCAGAACTACACGGAAGCATGCTGAGAAACTTCTTTGTGATGTTTGCATTCAACTCACAGAGTTGAACCTTGCTTTCATAGTTCAGCTTTCAAACACTCTTTTTGTAGAATCTGCAAGTGGATATTTGGACCACTTTGTGGCCTTCCTTCGAAACGGGTATATCTTCACATCAAACCTAGACAGAAGCATTCTCAGAATGTTTCCTGTGATGACTGCATTCAACTCACAGAGGTGAACAATCCTGTTGATGGAGCAGTTTTGAAACTCTCTTTCTTTGGATTCTGCAAGTGGATATGTGGACCTCTGTGAAGATTTCGTTGGAAACGGGTTCATCTTCACAGAAAAACTAAACAGAAGCATTCTCAGAAACTACTTTGTGATGTTTGTGTTCCACTTCAAGAATTGAACTTTCCTCTTGACAGAGCAGCTCTGAAACCCTCTTTTTCTAGAATCTGCAAGTGGACATTTGGAGGGCTTTGAGGCCTGTGGTGGAAAAGGAAAATCTTCACATAAAAACTAGATGGAAGCATTCTCAGAAACTACTTTGTGATGATTGCATTCGACTCACAGAGTTGAACATTCCTATAGATAGAGCAGGTTGTAAACAATCTTTTTGTAGAATCTGCGATTGGAGATTTGGACTGCTTTGAGGCCTACTGTAGTAAAGGAAATAACTTCATCTAAAAACCAAACGGAAGCATTCACAGACAATTCTTAGTGATCATTGGATTGAACTAACAGAGCTGAACATTCCTTTAGATGGAGCAGTTTCCAAACACACTTTCTGTAGAATCTGCAAGTGGATATTTGGACTTCTCTGAGGATTTCGTTGGAAACGGGCTAAACTTCCCAGAACTACACGAAGCATTCTGAGAAACTTCTTTGTGATGTTTGCATTCAACTCACAGAGTTGAACCTTGCTTTCATAGTTCAGCTTTCAAACACTCTTTTTGTAGAATCTGCAAGTGGATATTTGGACCACTTTGTGGCCTTGCTTCGAAACGGGTATATCTTCACATCAAACCTAGACAGAAGCATTCTCAGAATGTTTCCTGTGATGACTGCATTCAACTCACAGAGGTGAACAATCCTGTTGATGGAGCAGTTTTGAAACTCTCTTTCTTTGGATTCTGCAAGTGGATATGTGGACCTCTGTGAAGATTTCGTTGGAAACGGGTTCATCTTCACAGAAAAACTAAACAGGAGCATTCTCAGAAACAGCTTTGTGTTGTTTGTGTTCCACTTCAAGAATTGAACTTTCCTCTTGAGAGAGCAGCTCTGAAACCCTCTTTTTCTAGAGTCTGCAAGTGGACATTTGGAGGGCTTTGAGGCCTGTGGTGGAAAAGGAAAATCTTCACATAAAAACTAGATGGAAAGCATTCTCAGAAACTACTTTGTGATGATTGCATTCGACTCACAGATTTGAACATTCCTATAGATAGAGCAGGTTGTAAACAATCTTTTTGTAGAATCTGCGATTGGAGATTTGGACTGCTTTGAGGCATACTGTAGTAAAGGAAATAACTTCATCTAAAAACCAAACGGAAGCATTCATAGACAATTCTTAGTGATCATCGCATTGAACTAACAGAGCTGAACATTCCTTTAGATGGAGCAGTTTCCAAACACACTTTCTGTAGAATCTGCAAGTGGATATTTGGACCTCTCTGAGGATTTCGTTGGAAACGGGATAAACTTCCCAGAACTACACGGAAGCATTGTGAGAAACTTCTTTGTGATGTTTGCATTCAACTCACAGAGTTGAACCTTGCTTTCATAGTTCAGCTTTCAAACACTCTTTTTGTGGAATCTGCAAGTGGATATTTGGACCACTTTGTGGCCTTCCTTCGAAACGGGTATATCTTCACATCAAACCTAGACAGAAGCATTCTCAGAATGTTTCCTGTGATGACTGCATTCAACTCACAGAGGTGAACAATCCTGCTGATGGAGCAGTTTTGAAACTCTCTTTCTTTGGATTCTGCAAGTGGATATGTGGACCTCTGTGAAGATTTCGTTGGAAACGGGTTCATCTTCACAGAAAAACTAAACAGGAGCATTCTCAGAAACTGCTTTGTGATGTTTGTGTTCCACTTCAGGAATTGAACTTTCCTCTTGACAGAGCAGCTCTGAAACCCTCTTATTCTAGAATCTGCAAGTGGACATTTGGAGGGCTTTGAGGCCTGTGGTGGAAAAGGAAAATCTTCACATAAAAACTAGATGGAAGCATTCTCAGAAACTACTTTGTGATGATTGCATTCGACTCACAGAGTTGAACATTCCTATAGATAGAGCAGGTTGTAAACAATCTTTTTGTAGAATCTGCGATTGGAGATTTGGACTGCTTTGAGGCCTACTGTAGTAAAGGAAATAACTTCATCTAAAAACCAAACGGATGCATTCAGAGACAATTCTTAGTGATCATTGGATTGAACTAACAGAGCTGAACATTCCTTTAGATGGAGCAGTTGCCAAACCCACTTTCTGTAGAATCTGCAAGTGGATATTTGGACTTCTCTGAGGAATTCGTTGGAAACGGGATAAACTTCCCAGAACTACACGGAAGCATTGTGAGAAACTTCTTTGTGATGTTTGCATTCAACTCACAGAGTTGAACCTTGCTTTCATAGTTCAGCTTTCAAACACTCTTTTTGTAGAATCTGCAAGTGGATATTTGGACCACTTTGTGGCCTTCCTTTGAAAAGGGTGTATCTTCACATCAAACCTAGACAGAAGCATTCTCAGAATGTTTCCTGTGATGACTGCATTCAACTCACAGAGGTGAACAATCCTTCTGATGGAGCAGTTTTGAAACTCTCTTTCTTTGGATTCTGCATGTGGATATATGGACCTCTGTGAAGATTTCGTTGGAAACGGGTTCATCTTCACAGAAAAACTAAACAGGAACATTCTCAGAAACTACTTTGTGATGTTTGTGTTCCACTTCAAGAATTGAACTTTCCTCTTGACAGAGCAGCTCTGAAACCCTCTTTTTCTAGAATCTGCAAGTGGACATTTGGAGGGCTTTGAGGCCTGTGGTGGAAAAGGAAAATCTTCACATAAAAACTAGATGGAAGCATTCTCAGAAACTACTTTGTGATGATTGCATTCGACTCACATAGTTGAACATTCCTATAGATAGAGCAGGTTGTAAACAATCTTTTTGTAGAATCTGCGATTGGAGATTTGGACTATTTTGAGGCCTACTGTAGTAAAGGAAATAACTTCATCTAAAAACCAAACGGAAGCATTCACAGAAAATTCTTAGTGATCATTGGATTGAACTAACAGAGCTGAACATTCCTTTAGATGGAGCAGTTTCCAAACCCACTTTCTGTAGAATCTGCAAGTGGATATTTGGACTTCTCTGAGGATTTCGTTGGAAACGGGATATGCTTCCCAGAACTACACGGAAGCATTCTGAGAAACTTCTTTGTGATGTTTGCATTCAACTCACAGAGTTGAACCTTGCTTTCATAGTTCAGCTTTCAAACACTCTTTTTGTAGAATCTGCAAGTGGATATTTGGACCACTTTGTGGCCTTCCTTCGAAACGGGTATATCTTCACATCAAACCTAGACAGAAGCATTCTCAGAATGTTTCCTGTGATGACTGCATTCAACTCACAGAGGTGAACAATCCTGTTGATGGAGCAGTTTTGAAACTCTCTTTCTTTGGATTCTGCAAGTGGATATGTGGACCTCTGTGAAGATTTCGTTGGAAACGGGTTCATCTTCACAGAAAAACTAAACAGGAGCATTCTCAGAAACTGCTTTGTGATGTTTGTGTTCCACTTCAGGAATTGAACTTTCCTCTTGACAGAGCAGCTCTGAAACCCTCTTATTCTAGAATCTGCAAGTGGACATTTGGAGGGCTTTGAGGCCTGTGGTGGAAAAGGAAAATCTTCACATAAAAACTAGATGGAAGCATTCTCAGAAACTACTTTGTGATGATTGCATTCGACTCACAGAGTTGAACATTCCTATAGATAGAGCAGGTTGTAAACAATCTTTTTGTAGAATCTGCGATTGGAGATTTGGAATGCTTTGAGGCCTACTGTAGTAAAGGAAATAACTTCATCTAAAAACCAAACGGAAGCATCCACAGACAATTCTTAGTGATCATTGGATTGAACTAACAGAGCTGAACATTCCTTTAGGTGGAGCAGTTTCCAAACACACTTTCTGTAGAATCTGCAAGTGGATATTTGGACTTCTCTGAAGATTTCGTTGGAAACGGGATAAACTTCCCAGAACTACACGGAAGCATTCTGAGAAACTTCCTTGTCATGTTTGCATACAACTCACAGAGTTGAACCTTGCTTTCATAGTTCAGCTTTCAAACACTCTTTTTGTAGAATCTGCAAGTGGATATTTGGACCACTTTGTGGCCTTCCTTCGAAACGGGTATATCTTCACATCAAACCTAGACAGAAGCATTCTCAGAATGTTTCCTGTGATGACTGCATTCAACTCACAGAGGTGAACAATCCTGCTGATGGAGCAGTTTTGAAACTCTCTTTCTTTGGATTCTGCAAGTGGATATGTGGACCTCTGTGAAGATTTCGTTGGAAACGGGTTCATCTTCACAGAAAAACTAAACAGGAGCATTCTCAGAAACTGCTTTGTGATGTTTGTGTTCCACTTCAAGAATTGAACTTTCCTCTTGACAGAGCAGCTCTGAAACCCTCTTTTTCTAGAATCTGCAAGTGGACATTTGGAGGGCTTTGAGGCCTGTGGTGGAAAAGGAAAATCTTCCCATAAAAACTAGATGGAAGCATTCTCAGAAACTACTTTGTGATGATTGCATTCGACTCACAGGAGTTGAACATTCCTATAGATAGAGCAGGTTGTAAACAATCTTTTTGTAGAATCTGCGATTGGAGATTTGGACTGCTTTGAGGCCTACTGTAGTAAAGGAAATAACTTCACCTAAAAACCAAACGGAAGCATTCACAGACAATTCTTAGTGATCATTGCATTGAACTAACAGAGCTGAACATTCCTTTAGATGGAGCATTTTCCAAACACACTTTCTGTAGAATCTGCAAGTGGATATTTGGACTTCTCTGAGGATTTCGTTGGAAACGGGATAAACTTCCCAGAACTACACGGAAGCATTCTGAGAAACTACTTTGTGATGATTGCATTCGACTCACAGAGTTGAACATTCCTATAGATAGAGCAGGTTGTAAACAAACTTTTTGTAGAATCTGCAAGTGGATATTTGGGCCACTTTGTGGCCTTCCTTCGAAACGGGTATATCTTCACATCAAACCTAGACAGAAGCATTCTCAGAATGTTTCCTGTGATGACTGCATTCAACTCACAGAGGTGAACAATCCTGCTGATGGAGCAGTTTTGAAACTCTCTTTCTTTGGATTCTGCAAGTGGATATGTGGACCTCTGTGAAGATTTCGTTGGAAACGGGTTCATCTTCACAGAAAAACTAAACAGGAGCATTCTCAGAAACTGCTTTGTGATGTTTGTGTTCCACTTCAGGAATTGAACTTTCCTCTTGACAGAGCAGCTCTGAAACCCTCTTATTCTAGAATCTGCAAGTGGACATTTGGAGGGCTTTGAGGCCTGTGGTGGAAAAGGAAAATCTTCACATAAAAACTAGATGGAAGCATTCTCAGAAACTATTTTGGGATGATTGCATTCGACTCACAGAGTTGAACATTCCTATAGATAGAGCAGGTTGTAAACAATCTTTTTGTAGAATCTGCGATTGGAGATTTGGACTGCTTTGAGGCCTACTGTAGTAAAGGAAATAACTTCATCTAAAAACCAAACGGAAGCATTCACAGACAATTCTTAGTGATCATTGGATTGAACTAACAGAGCTGAATATTCCTTTCGATGGCGCAGTTTCCAAACACACTTTCTGTAGTATCTGCAAGTGGATATTTGGACCTCTCTGAGGGTTTCGTTGGAAACGGGATAAACTTCCCAGAACTACAGGGAAGCATTGTGAGAAACTTCTTTGTGATGTTCAGCTTTCATAGTTCAGCTTTCAAACACTCTTTTTGTAGAATCTGCAAGTGGATATTTGGACCACTTTGTGGCCTTCCTTCGAAACGGGTATATCTTCACATCAAACCTAGACAGAAGCATTCTCAGAATGTTTCCTGTGATGACTGCATTCAACTCACAGAGGTGAACAATCCTGCTGATGGAGCAGTTTTGAAACTCTCTTTCTTTGGATTCTGCAAGTGGATATGTGGACCTCTGTGAAGATTTCGTTGGAAACGGGTTCATCTTCACAGAAAAACTAAACAGAAGCATTCTCAGAAACTACTTTGTGATGTTTGTGTTCCACTTCAAGAATTGAACTTTCCTCTTGACAGAGCAGCTCTGAAACCCTCTTTTTCTAGAATCTGCAAGTGGACATTTGGAGGGCTTTGAGGCCTGTGGTGGAAAAGGAAAATCTTCACATAAAAACTAGATGGAAGCATTCTCAGAAACTACTTTGTGATGATTGCATTCGACTCATAGAGTTGAACATTCCTATAGATAGAGCAGGTTGTAAACAATCTTTTTGTAGAATCTGCGATTGGAGATTTGGACTGCTTTGAGGCCTACTGTAGTAAAGGAAATAACTTCATCTAAAAACCAAACGGAAGCATTCACAGACAATTCTTAGTGATCATTGGATTGAACTAACAGAGCTGAACATTCCTTTAGATGGAGCAGTTTCCAAACACACTTTCTGTAGAATCTGCAAGTGGATATTTGGACTTCTCTGAGGATTTCGTTGGAAACGGGATAAACTTCCCAGAACTACACGGAAGCATTCTGAGAAACTTCTTTGTGATGTTTGCATTCAACTCACAGAGTTGAACCTTGCTTTCATAGTTCAGCTTTCAAACACTCTTTTTGTAGACTCTGCAAGTGGATATTTGGACCACTTTGTGGCCTTCCTTCGAAACGGGTATATCTTCACATCAAACCTAGACAGAAGCATTCTCAGAATGTTTCCTGTGATGACTGCATTCAACTCACAGAGGTGAACAATCCTGCTGATGGAGCAGTTTTGAAACTCTCTTTCTTTGGATTCTGCAAGTGGATATGTGGACCTCTGTGAAGATTTCGTTGGAAACGGGTTCATCTTCACAGAAAAACTAAACAGAAGCATTCTCAGAAACTGCTTTGTGATGTTTGTGTTCCACTTCAGGAATTGAACTTTCCTCTTGACAGAGCAGCTCTGAAACCCTCTTTTTCTAGAATCTGCAAGTGGACATTTGGAGGGCTTTGAGGCCTGTGGTGGAAAAGGAAAATCTTCACATAAAAACTAGATGGAAGCATTCTCAGAAACTACTTTGTGATGATTGCATTCGACTCACAGAGTTGAACATTCCTATAGATAGAGCAGGTTGTAAACAATCTTTTTGTACAATCTGCGATTGGAGATTTGGACTGCTTTGAGGCCTACTGTAGTAAAGGAAATAACTTCATCTAAAAACCAAACGGAAGCATTCACAGACAATTCTTAGTGATCATTGGATTGAACTAACAGAGCTGAACATTCCTTTAGATGGAGCAGTTTCCAAACCCACTTTCTGTAGAATCTGCAAGTGGATATTTGGACTTCTCTGAGGATTTCGTTGGAAACGGGATAAACTTCCCAGAACTACACGGAAGCATTGTGAGAAACTTCTTTGTGATGTTTGCATTCAACTCACAGAATTCAACCTTGCTTTCATAGTTCAGCTTTCAAACACTCTTTTTGTAGAATCTGCAAGTGGATATTTGGACCACTTTGTGGCCTTCCTTCGAAACGGCTATATCTTCACATCAAACCTAGACAGAAGCATTCTCAGAATGTTTCCTGTGATGACTGCATTCAACTCACAGAGGTGAACAATCCTGCTGATGGAGCAGTTTTGAAACTCTCTTTCTTTGGATTCTGCAAGTGGATATGTGGACCTCTGTGAAGATTTCGTTGGAAACGGGTTCATCTTCACAGAAAAACTAAACAGAAGCATTCTCAGAAACTACTTTGTGAAGTTTTTGTTCCACTTCAAGAATTGAACTTTCCTCTTGACAGAGCAGCTCTGAAACCCTCTTTTTCTAGAATCTGCAAGTGGATATTTGGAGGGATTTGAGGCCTGTGGTGGAAAAGGAAAATCTTCACATAAAAACTAGATGGAAGGATTCTCAGAAACTACTCTGTGATGATTGCATTCGACTCACAGAGTTGAACATTCGTATAGATAGAGCAGGTTGTAAACAATCTTTTTGTAGAATCTGCGATTGGAGATTTGGACTGCTTTGAGGCCTACTGTAGAAAAGGAAATAACTTCATCTAAAAATCAAACGGAAGCATTCACAGACAATTCTTAGTGATCATTGCATTGAACTAACAGAGCTGAACATTCCTTTAGATGGAGCAGTTTCCAAACACACTTTCTGTAGAATCTGCAAGTGGATATTTGGACTTCTCTGAGGATTTCGTTGGAAACGGGATAAACTTCCCAGAACTACACGGAAGCATGCTGAGAAACTTCTTTGTGATGTTTGCATTCAACTCACAGAGTTGAACCTTGCTTTCATAGTTCAGCTTTCAAACACTCTTTTTGTAGAATCTGCAAGTGGATATTTGGACCACTTTGTGGCCTTCCTTCGAAACGGGTATATCTTCACTTCAAACCTAGACAGAAGCATTCTCAGAATGTTTCCTGTGATGACTGCATTCAACTCACAGAGGTGAACAATCCTGCTGATGGAGCAGTTTTGAAACTCTCTTTCTTTGGATTCTGCAAGTGGATATGTGGACCTCTGTGAAGATTTCGTTGGAAACGGGTTCATCTTCACAGAAAAACTAAACAGAGCATTCTCTGAAACTGCTTTGTGATGTTTGTGTTCCACTTCAAGAATTGAACTTTTCTCTTGACAGAGCAGCTCTGAAACCCTCTTTTTCTAGAATCTGCAAGTGGACATTTGGAGGGCTTTGAGGCCTGTGGTGGAAAAGGAAAATCTTCACATAAAAACTAGATGGAAGCATTCTCAGAAACTACTTTGTGATGATTGCATTCGACTCACAGTGTTGAACATTCCTATAGATAGAGCAGGTTGTAAACAATCTTTTTGTAGAATCTGCGATTGGAGATTAGGACTGCTTTGAGGCCTACTGTAGTAAAGGAAATAACTTCATCTAAAAACCAAACGGAAGCATTCACAGACAATTCTTAGTGATCATTGGATTGAACTAACAGAGCTGAACATTCCTTTAGATGGAGCAGTTTCCAAACCCACTTTCTGTAGAATCTGCAAGTGGATATTTGGACTTCTCTGAGGATTTCGTTGGAAACGGGATAAACTTCCCAGAACTACACGGAAGCATGCTGAGAAACTTCTTTGTGATGTTTGCATTCAACTCACAGAGTTGAACCTTGCTTTCATAGTTCAGCTTTCAAACACTCTTTTTGTAGAATCTGCAAGTGGATATTTGGACCACTTTGTGGCCTTCCTTCGAAACGGGTATATCTTCACATCAAACCTAGACAGAAGCATTCTCAGAATGTTTCCTGTGATGACTGCATTCAACTCCCAGAGGTGAACAATCCTGCTGATGGAGCAGTTTTGAAACTCTCTTTCTTTGGATTCTGCAAGTGGATATGTGGACCTCTGCGAAGATTTTCTTTGGAAACGGGTTCATCTTCACAGAAAAACTAAACAGAAGCATTCTCAGAAACTGCTTTGTGATGTTTGTGTTCCACTTCAGGAATTGAACTTTCCTCT
Organism: Homo sapiens; assembly: GCF_000001405.40. NCBI lineage: Eukaryota > Metazoa > Chordata > Mammalia > Primates > Hominidae > Homo > Homo sapiens. The sequence continues at coordinate 52,297,228 of NC_000011.10, forward strand.
TGACAGAGCAGCTCTGAAACCCTCTTATTCTAGAATCTGCAAGTGGACATTTGGAGGGCTTTGAGGCCTGTGGTGGAAAAGGAAAATCTTCACATAAAAACTAGATGGAAGCATTCTCAGAAACTACTATGTGATGATTGCATTCGACTCACAGAGTTGAACATTCCTATAGATAGAGCAGGTTGTAAACAATCTTTTTGTAGAATCTGCGATTGGAGATTTGGACTGCTTTGAGGCCTACTGTAGTAAAGGAAATAACTTCATCTAAAAACCAAACGGAAGCAATCACAGACAATTCTTAGTGATCATTGCATTGAACTAACAGAGCTGAACATTCCTTTAGATGGCGCAGTTTCCAAACACACTTTCTGTAGAATCTGCAAGTGGATATTTGGACCTCTCTGAGGATTTCGTTGGAAACGGGATAAACTTCCCAGAACTACACGGAAGCATTCTGAGAAACTTCTTTGTGATGTTTGCATTCAACTCACAGAGTTGAACCTTGCTTTCATAGTTCAGCTTTCAAACACTCTTTTTGTAGAATCTGCAAGTGGATATTTGGACCACTTTGTGGCCTTCCTTCGAAACGGGTATATCTTCACATCAAACCTAGACAGAAGCATTCTCAGAATGTTTCCTGTGATGACTGCATTCAACTCACAGAGGTGAACAATCCTGTTGATGGAGCAGTGTTGAAACTCTCTTTCTTTGGATTCTGCAAGTTGATATGTGGACCTCTGTGAAGATTTCGTTGCAAACGGGTTCATCTTCACAGAAAATCTAAACAGAAGCATTCTCAGAAACTGCTTTGTGATGTTTGTGTTCCACTTCAAGAATTGAACTTTCCTCTTGACAGAGCAGCTCTGAAACCCTCTTTTTCTAGAATCTGCAAGTGGACATTTGGAGGGCTTTGAGGCCTGTGGTGGAAAAGGAAAATCTTCACATAAAAACTAGATGGAAGCATTCTCAGAAACTACTTTGTGATGATTGCATTCGACTCACAGAGTTGAACATTCCTATAGATAGAGCAGGTTGTAAACAATCTTTTTGTAGAATCTGCGATTGGAGATTTGGACTGCTTTGAGGCCTACTGTAGTAAAGGAAATAACTTCATCTAAAAACCAAACGGAAGCATTCACAGACAATTCTTAGTGATCATTGCATTGAATTAACAGAGCTGAACATTCCTTTAGATGGCGCAGTTTCCAAACACACTTTCTGTAGAATCTGCAAGTGGATATTTGGACCTCTCTGAGGATTTCGTTGGAAACGGGATAAACTTCCCAGAACTACACGGAAGCATTCTGAGAAACTTCTTTGTGATGTTTGCATTCAACTCACAGAGTTGAACCTTGCTTTCATAGTTCAGCTTTCAAACCCTCTTTTTGTAGAATCTGCAAGTGGATATTTGGACCACTTTGTGGCCTTCCTTCGAAACGGGTATATCTTCACATCAAACCTAGACAGAAGCATTCTCAGAATGTTTCCTGTGATGACTGCATTCAACTCACAGAGGTGAACAATCCTGCTGATGGAGCAGTTTTGAAACTCTCTTTCTTTGGATTCTGCAAGTGGATATGTGGACCTCTGTGAAGATTTCGTTGGAAACGGGTTCATCTTCACAGAAAAACTAAACAGAAGCATTCTCAGAAACTGCTTTGTGATGTTTGTGTTCCACTTCAGGAATTGAACTTTCCTCTTGACAGAGCAGCTCTGAAACCCTCTTATTCTAGAATCTGCAAGTGGACATTTGGAGGGCTTTGAGGCCTGTGGTGGAAAAGGAAAATCTTCACATAAAAACTAGATGGAAGCATTCTCAGAAACTACTTTGTGATGATTGCATTCGACTCACAGAGTTGAACATTCCTATAGATAGAGCAGGTTGTAAACAATCTTTTTGTAGAATCTGCGATTGGACATTTGGACTGCTTTGAGGCCTACTGTAGTAAAGGAAATAACTTCATCTAAAAACCAAACGGAAGCATTCACAGACAATTCTTAGTGATCATTGGATTGAACTAACAGAGCTGAACATTCCTTTAGATGGAGCAGTTTCCAAACCCACTTTCTGTAGAATCTGCAAGTGGATATTTGGACTTCTCTGAGGATTTCGTTGGAAACGGGATAAACTTCCCAGAACTACACGGAAGCATTCTGAGAAACTTCTTTGTGATGTTTGCATTCAACTCACAGAGTTGAACCTTGCTTTCATAGTTCAGCTTTCAAACACTCTTTTTGTAGAATCTGCAAGTGGATATTTGGACCACTTTGTGGCCTTCCTTCGAAACGGGTATATCTTCACATCAAACCTAGACAGAAGCATTCTCAGAATGTTTCCTGTGATGACTGCATTCAACTCACAGAGGTGAACAATCCTGCTGATGGAGCAGTTTTGAAACTCTCTTTCTTTGGATTGTGCAAGTGGATATGTGGACCTCTGTGTAGATTTCGTTGGAAACGGGTTCATCTTCACAGAAAAACTAAACAGGAGCATTCTCAGAAACTGCTTTGTCATGTTTGTCTTCCACTTCAAGAATTGAACTTTCCTCTTGACAGAGCAGCTCTGAAACCCTCTTTTTCTAGAATCTGCAAGTGGACATTTGGAGGGCTTTGAGGCCTGTGGTGGAAAAGGAAAATCTTCACATAAAAACTAGATGGAAGCATTCTCAGAAACTACTTTGTGATGATTGCATTCGACTCACAGAGTTGAACATTCCTATAGATAGAGCAGGTTGTAAACAATCTTTTTGTAGAATCTGCGATTGGAGATTTGGACTGCTTTGAGGCCTACTGTAGTAAAGGAAATAACTTCATCTAAAAACCAAACGGAAGCATTCACAGACAATTCTTAGTGATCATTGCATTGAACTAACAGAGGTGAACATTCCTTTAGATGGAGCAGTTTCCAAACCCACTTTCTGTAGAATCTGCAAGTGGATATTTGGACTTCTCTGAGGATTTCGTTGGAAACGGGATAAACTTCCCAGAACTACAGGGAAGCATTCTGAGAAACTTCTTTGTGATGGTTGCATTCAACTCACAGAGTTGAACCTTGCTTTCATAGTTCAGCTTTCAAACACTCTTTTTGTAGAATCTGCAAGTGGATATTTGGACCACTTTGTGGCCTTCCTTCGAAACGGGTATCTCTTCACATCAAACCTTGACAGAAGCATTCTCAGAATGTTTCCTGTGATGACTGCATTCAACTCACAGAGGTGAACAATCCTGCTGATGGAGCAGTTTTGAAACTCTCTTTCTTTGGATTCTGCAAGTAGATATGTGGACCTCTGTGAAGATTTCGTTGGAAACGGGTTCATCTTCACAGAAAAACTAAACACAAGCATTCTCAGAAACTGCTTTGTGATGTTTGTGTTCCACTTCAAGAATTGAACTTTCCTCTTGACAGAGCAGCTCTGAAACCCTCTTTTTCTAGAATCTGCAAGTGGACATTTGGAGGGCTTTGAGGCCTGTGGTGGAAAAGGAAAATCTTCACATAAAAACTAGATGGAAGCATTCTCAGAAACTACTTTGTGATGATTGCATTCGACTCACAGAGTTGAACATTCCTATAGATAGAGCAGGTTGTAAACAATCTTTTTGTAGAATCTGCGATTGGAGATTTGGACTGCTTTGAGGCCTACTGTAGTAAAGGAAATAACTTCATCTAAAAACCAAACGGAAGCATTCACAGACAATTCTTAGTGATCATTGGATTGAACTAACAGAGCTGAACATTCCTTTAGATGGAGCAGTTTCCAAACCCACTTTCTGTAGAATCTGCAAGGGGATATTTGGACTTCTCTGAGGATTTCGTTGGAAACGGGATAAACTTCCCAGAACTACACGGAAGCATTGTGAGAAACTTCTTTGTGATGTTTGCATTCAACTCACAGAGTTGAACCTTGCTTTCATAGTTCAGCTTTCAAACACTCTTTTTGTAGAATCTGCAAGTGGATATTTGGACCACTTTGTGGCCTTCCTTCGAAACGGGTATATCTTCACATCAAACCTAGACAGAAGCATTCTCAGAATGTTTCCTGTGATGACTGCATTCAACTCACAGAGGTGAACAATCCTGCTGATGGAGCAGTTTTGAAACTCTCTTTCTTTGGATTCTGCAAGTGGATATGTGGACCTCTGTGAAGATTTCGTTGGAAACGGGTTCATCTTCACAGAAAAACTAAACAGAAGCATTCTCAGAAACTACTTTGTGATGTTTGTGTTCCACTTCAAGAATTGAACTTTCCTCTTGACAGAGCAGCTCTGAAACCCTCTTTTTCTAGAATCTGCAAGTGGACATTTGGAGGGCTTTGAGGCCTGTGGTGGAAAAGGAAAATCTTCACATAAAAACTAGATGGAAGCATTCTCAGAAACTACTTTGTGATGATTGCATTCGACTCACAGAGTTGAACATTCCTATAGATAGAGCAGGTTGTAAACAATGTTTTTGTAGAATCTGCGATTGGAGATTTGGACTGCTTTGAGGCCTACTGTAGTAAAGGAAATAACTTCATCTAAAAACCAAACGGAAGCATTCACAGACAATTCTTAGTGATCATTCCATTGAACTAACAGAGCTGAACATTCCTTTAGATGGCGCAGTTTCCAAACAGACTTTCTGTAGAATCTGCAGGTGGATATTTGGACCTCTCTGAGGATTTCGTTGGAAACGGGATAAACTTCCCAGAACTACACGGAAGCATTCTGAGAAACTTCTTTGTGATGTTTGCATTCAACTCACAGAGTTGAACCTTGCTTTCATAGTTCAGCTTTCAAACACTCTTTTTGTAGAATCTGCAAGTGGATATTTGGACCACTTTGTGGCCTTCCTTCGAAAGGGGTATATCTTCACATCAAACCTAGACAGAAGCATTCTCAGAATGTTTCCTGTGATGACTGCATTCAACTCAGAGAGGTGAACAATCCTGTTGATGGGGCACTTTTGAAACTCTCTTTCTTTGGATTCTGCAAGTGGATATGTGGACCTCTGTGAAGATTTCGTTGGAAACGGGTTCATCTTCACAGAAAAACTAAACAGAAGCATTCTCAGAAACTACTTTGTGATGTTTGTGTTCCACTTCAAGAATTGAACTTTCCTCTTGACAGAGCAGCTCTGAAACCCTTTTTCTAGAATCTGCAAGTGGACATTTGGAGGGCTTTGAGGCCTGTGGTGGAAAAGGAAAATCTTCACATAAAAACTAGATGGAAGCATTCTCAGAAACTACTTTGTGATGATTGCATTCGACTCACAGAGTTGAACATTCCTATAGATAGAGCAGGTTGTAAACAATCTTTTTGTAGAATCTGCGATTGGAGATTTGGACTGCTTTGAGGCCTACTGTAGTAAAGGAAATAACTTCATCTAAAAACCAAACGGAAGCATTCACAGACAATTCTTAGTGATCATTGGATTGAACTAACAGAACTGAACATTCCTTTAGATGGAGCAGTTTCCAAACCCACTTTCTGTAGAATCTGCAAGTGGATATTTGGACTTCTCTGAGGATTTCGTTGGAAATGGGTTATACTTCCCAGAACTACACGGAAGCATTCTGAGAAACTTCTTTGTGATGTTTGCATTCAACTCACAGAGTTGAACCTTGCTTTCATAGTTCAGCTTTCAAACACTCTTTTTGTAGAATCTGCAAGTGGATATTTGGACCACTTTGTGGCCTTCCTTCGGAACGGGTATATCTTCACATCAAACCTAGACAGAAGCATTCTGAGAATGTTTCCTGTGATGACTGCATTCAACTCACAGAGGTGAACAATCCTGCTGATGGAGCAGTTTTGAAACTCTCTTTCTTTGGATTCTGCAAGTGGATATGTGGACCTCTGTGAAGATTTCGTTGGAAACGGGTTCATCTTCACAGAAAAACTAAACAGGAGCATTCTCAGAAACTACTTTGTGATGTTTGTGTTCCACTTCAAGAATTGAACTTTCCTCTTGACAGAGCAGCTCTGAAACCCTCTTATTCTAGAATCTGCAAGTGGACATTTGGAGGGCTTTGAGGCCTGTGGTGGAAAAGGAAAATCTTCACATACAAACTAGATGGAAGCATTCTCAGAAACTACTTTGTGATGATTGCATTCGACTCACAGAGTTGAACATTCCTATAGATAGAGCAGGTTGTAAACAATCTTTTTGTAGAATCTGCGATTGGAGATTTGGACTGCTTTGAGGCCTACTGTAGTAAAGGAAATAACTTCATCTAAAAACCAAACGGAAGCATTCACAGACAATTCTTAGTGATCATTGCATTGAACTAACAGAGCTGAAAATTCCGTTAGATGGTGCAGTTTCCAAACACACTTTCTGTAGAATCTGCAAGTGGATATTTGGACCTCTCTGAGGATTTCGTTGGAAACGGGATAAACTTCCCAGAACTACACGGAAGCATTCTGAGAAACTTCTTTGTGATGTTTGCATTCAACTCACAGAGTTGAACCTTGCTTTCATAGTTCAGCTTTCAAAGACTCTTTTTGTAGAATCTGCAAGTGGATATGTGGACCACTTTGTGGCCTTCCTTCGAAACGGGTATATCTTCACATGAAACCTAGACAGAAGCATTCTCAGAATGTTTCCTGTGATGACTGCATTCAACTCACAGAGGTGAACCATCCTTTTGATGGAGCAGTTTTGAAACTCCCTTTCTTTGGATTCTGCAAGTGGATATGTGGAACTCTTTGAAGATTTCGTTGGAAACGGGTTCATCTTCACAGAAAAACTAAACAGGAGCATTCTCAGAAACTGCTTTGTGATGTTTGTGTTCCACTTCAGGAATTGAACTTTCCTCTTGACAGAGCAGCTCTGAAACCCTCTTATTCTAGAATCTGCAAGTGGACATTTGGAGGGCTTTGAGGCCTGTGGTGGAAAACGAAAATCTTCACATAAAAACTAGATGGAAGCATTCTCAGAAACTACTTTGGGATGATTGCATTAGACTCACAGACTTGAACCTTCCAATGGATAGAGCAGTTTGTAAACACTCTTTTTGTAGAATCTGTGATTGCTGATTTGGACTGCATTGAGGCCTACGGTACTAAAGGAAATAACTTCATCTAAAATCCAAACGGAAGCATTCACAGAAAATTCTTTGTGATGATTGGATTGAACTAAGAGAGCTGAACATTCCTTTAGATGGCGCAGTTTCCAAACACACTTTCTGTAGAATCTGCACGTGGATATTTGGACTTCTCTGAGGATTTCGTTGGAAATGGGATAAACTTCCCAGAACTACACGGAAGCATTCTCAGAAACTTCTTTGTCACGTTTGCATTCAACTCACAGAGTTGAACCTTCTTTTCATAGTTCAGCTTTCAAACACTCTATTTGTAGAATCTGCAAGTGGATATTTGGACCACTTTGTGGCCTTCCTTCGAAACGGGTATATCTTCACATCAAACCTAGACAGAAGCATTCTCAGAATGTTTCCTGTGATGACTGCATTCAACTCACAGAGGTGAACAATCCTGTTGATGGAGCAGTTTTGAAACTCTCTTTCTTTGGATTCTGCAAGTGGATATGTGGACCTCTGTGAAGATTTCGTTGGAAACGGGTTCATCTTCACAGAAAAACTAAAAAGAAACATTCTCAGAAACTGCTTTGTGATGTTTGTGTTCCACTTCAGGAATTGAACTTTCCTCTTGACAGAGCAGCTCTGAAACCCTCTTATTCTAGAATCTGCAAGTGGACATTTGGAGGGCTTTGAGGCCTGTGGTGGAAAAGGAAAATCTTCACATAAAAACTAGATGGAAGCATTCTCAGAAACTACTTTGTGATGATTGCATTCGACTCACAGAGTTGAACATTCCTATAGATAGAGCAGGTTGTAAACAATCTTTTTGTAGAATCTGCGATTGGAGATTTGGACTGCTTTGAGGCCTACTGTAGTAAAGGAAATAACTTCATCTAAAAACCAAACGGAAGCATTCACAGACAATTCTTAGTGATCATTGGATTGAACTAACAGAGCTGAACATTCCTTTAGATGGCGCAGTTTCCAAACACACTTTCTGTAGAATCTGCAACTGGATATTTGGACCTCTCTGAGGATTTCGTTGGAAACAGGATAAACTTCCCAGAACTACACGGAAGCATTCTGAGAAACTTCTTTGTGTTGTTTGCATTCAACTCACAGAGATGATCCTTGCTTTCATAGTTCAGTTTTCAAACACTCTTTTTGTAGAATCTGCAAGTGGATATTTGGACCACTTTGTGGCCTTCCTTCGAAACGGGTATATCTTCACATCAAACTTAGACAGAAGCATTCTCAGAATGTTTCCTGTGATGACTGCATTCAACTCACAGAGGTGAACAATCCTGCTGATGGAGCAGTTTTGAAACTCTCTTTCTTTGGATTCTGCAAGTGGATATGTGGACCTCTGTGAAGATTTCGTTGGAAACGGGTTCATCTTCACAGAAAAACTAAACAGGAGCATTCTCAGAAACTGCTTTGTGATGTTTGTGTTCCACTTCAAGAATTGAACTTTCCTCTTGACAGAGCAGCTCTGAAACCCTCTTTTTCTAGAATCTGCAAGTGGACATTTGGAGGGCTTTGAGGCCTGTGGTGGAAAAGGAAACTCTTCACATAAAAACTAGATGGAAGCATTCTCAGAAACTCCTTTGTGATGATTGCATTCGACTCACAGAGTTGAACATTCCTATAGATAGAGCAGGTTGTAAACAATCTTTTTGTAGAATCTGCGATTGGAGATTTGGACTGCTTTGAGGCCTACTGTAGTAAAGGAAATAACTTCATCTAAAAACCAAACGGAAGCATTCACAGACAATTCTTAGTGATCATTGGATTGAACTAACAGAGCTGAACATTCCTTTAGATGGAGCAGTTTCCAAACACACTTTCTGTAGAATCTGCAAGTGGATATTTGGACTTCTCTGAGGATTTCGTTGGAAACGGGATAAACTTCCCAGAACTACACGGAAGCATTCTGAGAAACTTCTTTGTGATGTTTGCATTCAACTCACAGAGTTGAACCTTGCTTTCATAGTTCAGCTTTCAAACACTCTTTTTGTAGAATCTACAGAAAGTGGATATTTGGACCACTTTGTGGCCTTCCTTCGAAACGGGTATATCTTCACATCAAACCTAGACAGAAGCATTCTCAGAATGTTTCCTGTGATGACTGCATTCAACTCACAGAGGTGAACAATCCTGCTGATGGAGCAGTTTTGAAACTCTCTTTCTTTGGGTTCTGCAAGTGGATATGTGGACCTCTGTGAAGATTTCGTTGGAAACGGGTTCATCTTCCCAGAAAAACTAAAAAGAAGCATTCTCAGAAACTGCTTTGTGATGTTTGTGTTCCACTTCAGGAATTGAACTTTCCTCTTGACAGAGCAGCTCTGAAACCCTCTTATTCTAGAATCTGCAAGTGGACATTTGGAGGGCCTTGAGGCCTGTGGTGGAAAAGGAAAATCTTCACATAAAAACTAGATGGAAGCATTCTCAGAAACTACTTTGTGATGATTGCATTCGACTCGCAGAGTTGAACATTCCTATAGATAGAGCAGGTTGTGAACAATGTTTTTGTAGAATCTGCGATTGGAGATTTGGACTGCTTTGAGGCCTACTGTAGTAAAGGAAATAACTTCATCTAAAAACCAAACGGAAGCATTCACAGACAATTCTTAGTGATCATTGCATTGAACTAACAGAGCTGAACATTCCTTTAGATGGCGCAGTTTCCAAACACACTTTCTGTAGAATCTGCAAGTGGATATTTGGACCTCTCTGAGGATTTCGTTAGAAACGGGATAAAATTCCCAGAACTACACGGAAGGATTCTGAGAAACTTCTTTGTGATGTTTGCATTCAACTCACAGAGTTGAACCTTGCTTTCATAGTTCAGCTTTCAAACACTCTTTTTGTAGAATCTGCAAGTGGATATTTGGACCACTTTGTGGCCTTCCTTCGAAACGGGTATATCTTCACATCAAACCTAGACAGAAGCATTCTCAGGATGTTTCCTGTGATGACTGCATTCAACTCAGAGAGGTGAACAATCCTGCTGATGGAGCAGTTTTGAAACTCTCTTTCATTGGATTCTGCAAGTGGATATGTGGACCTCTGTGAAGATTTCGTTGGAAACGGGTTCATCTTCACAGAAAAACTAAACAGAAGCATTCTCAGAAACTGCTTTGTGATGTTTGTGTTCCACTTCAGGAATTGAACTTTCCTCTTGACAGAGCAGCTCTGAAACCCTCTTATTCTAGAATCTGCAAGTGGACATTTGAAGGGCTTTGAGGCCTGTGGTGGAAAAGGAAAATCTTCACATAAAAACTAGATGGAAGCATTCTCAGAAACAACTTTGTGATGATTGCATTCGACCCACAGATTTGAACATTCCTATAGATAGAGCAGGTTGTAAACAATCTTTTTGTAGAATCTGCGATTGGAGATTTGGACTGCTTTGAGGCCTACTGTAGTAAAGGAAATAACTTCATCTAAAAACCAAACGGAAGCATTCACAGACAATTCTTAGTGATCATTGGATTGAACTAACAGAGCTGAACATTCCTTTAGATGGAGCAGTTTCCAAACCCACTTTCTGTAGAATCTGCAAGTGGATATTTGGACCTCTCTGAGGATTTCGTTGGAAACGGGATAAACTTCCCAGAACTACACGGAAGCATTCTGAGAAACTTCTTTGTGATGTTTGCATTCAACTCACAGAGTTGAAACTTGCTTTCTTAGTTCAGCTTTCAAAAACTCTTTTTGTAGAATCTGCAAGTGGATATTTGGACCACTTTGTGGCCTTCCTTCGAAACGGGTATATCTTCACATCAAACCTAGACAGAAGCATTCTCAGAATGTTTCCTGTGATGACTGCATTCAACTCACAGAGGTGAACAATCCTGTTGATGGAGCAGTTTTGAAACTCTCTTTCTTTGGATTCTGCAAGTGGATATGTGGACCTCTGTGAAGATTTCGTTGGAAACGGGTTCATATTCACAGTAAAACTAAACAGGAGCATTCTCAGAAACTACGTTGTGATGTTTGTGTTCAACTTGCAGAGTTGAAATTTCCTCTTGACAGAGCAGCTATGAAACATTGCTTTTCTTGAATCTGCAAGTGGACATTTGAAGGGCTTTGAGGCCTGTGGCGGAAACGTAAATATCTGCATATAAAAACTAGATAGAAGCATTCTGAGAATCTACTTTGTGATGATTGCATTCAGCTCACAGAGTTGAACCTTCCTTTCATAGTTCAGCTTTCAAACACTCTATTTGTAGAATCTGCAAGTGGATATTTGGACCACCTTGAGGCCTTCCTTCGAAACGGGTATATCTTCACATCAAACCTAGACAGAAGCATTCTCAGAATGTTTCCTGTGATGACTGCATTCAACTCACAGAGGTGAACAATCCTGCTGATGGAGCAGTTTTGAAACTCTCTTTCTTTGGATTCTGCAAGTGGATATGTGGACCTCTGTGAAGATTTCGTTGGAAACGGGTTCATCTTCACAGAAAAACTAAACAGAAGCATTCTCAGAAACTGCTTTGTGATGTTTGTGTTCCACTTCAAGAATTGAACTTTCCTCTTGACAGAGCAGCTCTGAAACCCTCTTTTTCTAGAATCTGCAAGTGGACATTTGGAGGGCTTTGAGGCCTGTGGTGGAAAAGGAAAATCTTCACATAAAAACTAGATGGAAGCATTCTCAGAAACTACTTTGTGATGATTGCATTCGACTCACAGAGTTGAACATTCCTATAGATAGAGCAGGTTGTAAACAATCTTTTTGTAGAATCTGCGATTGGAGATTTGGACTGCTTTGAGGCCTACTGTAGTAAAGGAAATAACTTCATCTAAAAACCAAACGGAAGCATTCACAGACAATTCTTAGTGATCATTGGATTGAACTAACATTGCTGAACATTCCTTTAGATGGCGCAGTTTCCAAACACACTTTCTGTAGACTCTGCAAGTGGATATTTGGACCTCTCTGAGGATTTCGTTGGAAACGGGATAAACTTCCCAGAACTACACGGAAGCATTCTGAGAAACTTCTTTGTGATGTTTGCATTCAACTCACAGAGTTGAACCTTGCTTTCATAGTTCAGCTTTGAAACACTCTTTTTGTAGAATCTGCAAGTGGATATTAGGACCACTTTGTGGCCTTCCTTCGAAACGGGTATATCTTCACATCAAACCTAGACAGAAGCATTCTCAGAATGTTTCCTGTGATGACTGCATTCAACTCACAGAGGTGAACAATCCTGCTGATGGAGCAGTTTTGAAACTCTCTTTCTTTGGATTCTGCAAGTGGATATGTGGACCTCTGTGAAGATTTCGTTGGAAACGGGTTCATCTTCACAGAAAAACTAAACAGGAGCATTCTCAGAAACTGCTTTGTGATGTTTGTGTTCCACTTCAAGAATTTAACTTTCCTCTTGACAGAGCAGCTCTGAAACCCTCTTTTTCTAGAATCTGCAAGTGGACATTTGGAGGGCTTTGAGGCCTGTGGTGGAAAAGGAAAATCTTCACATAAAAACTAGATGGAAGCATTCTCAGAAACTACTTTGTGATGACTGCATTCGACTCACAGAGTTGAACATTCCTATAGATAGAGCAGGTTGTAAACAATCTTTTTGTAGAGTCTGCGATTGGAGATTTGGACTGCTTTGAGGCCTACTGTAGTAAAGGAAATAACTTCATCTAAAAACCAAACGGAAGCATTCACAGACAATTCTTAGTGATCATTGGATTGAACTAACAGAGCTGAACATTCCTTTAGATGGAGCAGTTTCCAAACACACTTTCTGTAGAATCTGCAAGTGGATATTTGGACCTCTCTGAGGATTTCGTTGGAAACGGGATAAACTTCCCAGAACTACACGGAAGCATTCTGAGAAACTTCTTTGTGATGTTTGCATTCAACTCACAGAGTTGAACCTTGCTTTCATAGTTCAGCTTTCAAACACTCTTTTTGTAGAATCTGCAAGTGGATATTTGGACCACTTTGTGGCCTTCCTTCGAAACGGGTATATCTTCACATCAAACCTAGACAGAAGCATTCTCAGAATGTTTCCTGTGATGACTGCATTCAACTCACAGAGGTGAACAATCCTGCTGATGGAGCAGTTTTGAAACTCTCTTTCTTTGGATTCTGCCAGTGGATATGTGGACCTCTCTGAAGATTTCTTTGGAAACGGGTTCATCTTCACAGAAAAACTAAACAGAAGCATTCTCAGAAACTGCTTTGTGATGTTTGTGTTCCACTTCAGGAATTGAACTTTCCTCTTGACAGAGCAGCTCTGAAATCCTCTTATTCTAGAATCTGCAAGTGGACATTTGGAGGGCTTTGAGGCCTGTGGTGGAAAAGGAAAATCTTCACATAAAAACTAGATGGAAGCATTCTCAGAAACTCCTTTGTGATGATTGCATTCGACTCACAGAGTTGAACATTCCTATAGATAGAGCAGGTTGTAAACAATCTTTTTGTAGAATCTGCGATTGGAGATTTGGACTGCTTTGAGGCCTACTGTAGTAAAGGAAATAACTTCATCTAAAAACCAAACGGAAGCATTCACAGACAATTCTTAGTGATCATTGGATTGAACTAACAGAGCTGAACAGTCCTTTAGATGGCGCAGTTTCCAAACACACTTTCTGTAGAATCTGCAAGTGGATATTTGGACCTCTCTGAGGATTTCGTTGGAAACGGGATAAACTTCCCAGAACTACACGGAAGCATTCTGAGAAACTTCTTTGTGATGTTTGCATTCAACTCACAGAGTTGAACCTTGCTTTCATAGTTCAGCTTTCAAACACTCTTTTTGTAGAATCTGCAAGTGGATATTTGGACCACTTTGTGGCCTTCCTTCGAAACGGGTATATCTTCACATCAAACCTAGACAGCAGCATTCTCGGAATGTTTCCTGTGATGACTGCATTCAACTCACAGAGGTGAACAATCCTGCTGATGGAGCAGTTTTGAAACTCTCTTTCTTTGGATTCTGCAAGTGGATATGTGGACCTCTGTGAAGATTTCGTTGGAAACGGGTTCATCTTCACAGAAAAACTAAACAGGAGCATTCTCAGAAACTACTTTGTTATGTTTGTGTTCCACTTCAAGAATTGAACTTTCCTCTTGACAGAGCAGCTCTGAAACCCTCTTTTTCTAGAATCTGCAAGTGGACATTTGGAGGGCTTTGAGGCCTGTGGTGGAAAAGGAAAATCTTCACATAAAAACTAGATGGAAGCATTCTCAGAAACTACTTTGTGATGATTGCATTCGACTCACAGAGTTGAACATTCCTATAGATAGAGCAGGTTGTAAACAATCTTTTTGTAGAATCTGCGATTGGAGATTTGGACTGCTTTGAGGCCTACTGTAGTAAAGGAAATAACTTCATCTAAAAACCAAACGGAAGCATTCACAGACAATTCTTAGTGATCATTGGATTGAACTAACAGAGCTGAACATTCCTTTAGATGGAGCAGTTTCCAAACCCACTTTCTGTAGAATCTGCAAGTGGATATTTGGACTTCTCTGAGGATTTCGTTGGAAACGGGATAAACTTCCCAGAACTACACGGAAGCATTGTGAGAAACTTCTTTGTGATGTTTGCATTCAACTCACAGAGTTGAACCTTGCTTTCATAGTTCAGCTTTCAAACACTCTTTTTGTAGAATCTGCAAGTGGATATTTGGACCACTTTGTGGCCTTCCTTCGAAACGGGTATATCTTCACATCAAACCTAGACAGAAACATTCTCAGAATGTTTCCTGAGATGACTGCATTCAACTCACAGAGGGGAACAATCCTGCTGATGGAGCAGTTTTGAAACTCTCTTTCTTTGGATTCTGCAAGTGGATATGTGGACCTCTGTGAAGATTTCATTGGAAACGGGTTCATCTTCACAGAAAAACTAAACAGGAGCATTCTCAGAAACTGCTTTGTGATGTTTGTGTTCCACTTCAGGAATTGAACTTTCCTCTTGACAGAGCAGCTCTGAAACCCTCTTTTTCTAGAATCTGCAAGTGGACATTTGGAGGGCTTTGAGGCCTGTGGTGGAAAAGGAAAATCTTCACATAAAAACTAGATGGAAGCATTCTCAGAAACTACTTTGTGATGATTGCATTCGACTCACAGAGTTGAACATTCCTATAGATAGAGCAGGTTGTAAACAATCTTTTTGTAGAATCTGCGATTGGAGATTTGGACTGCTTTGAGGCCTACTGTAGTAAAGGAAATAACTTCATCTAAAAACCAAACGGAAGCATTCACAGACAATTCTTAGTGATCATTGCATTGAACTAACAGAGCTGAACATTCCTTTAGATGGTGCAGTTTCCAAACACACTTTCTGTAGAATCTGCAAGTGGATATGTGGACTTCTCTGAGGATTTCGTTGGAAACGGGATAAACTTCCCAGAACTACACGGAAGCATTGTGAGAAACTTCTTTGTGATGTTTGCATTCAACTCACAGAGTTGAACCTTGCTTTCATAGTTCAGCTTTCAAACACTCTTTTTGTAGAATCTGCAAGTGGATATTTGGACCACTTTGTGGCCTTCCTTCGAAACGGGTATATCTTCACATCAAACCTAGACAGAAGCATTCTCAGAATGTTTCCTGTGATGACTGCATTCAACTCACAGAGGTGAACAATCCTGCTGATGGAGCAGTTTTGAAACTCTCTTTCTTTGGATTCTGCAAGTGGATATGTGGACCTCTGTGAAGATTTCATTGGAAACGGGTTCATCTTCACAGAAAAACTAAACAGGAGCATTCTCAGAAACTGCTTTGTGATGTTTGTGTTCCACTTCAGGAATTGAACTTTCCTCTTGACAGAGCAGCTCTGAAACCCTCTTATTCTAGAATCTGCAAGTGGACATTTGGAGGGCTTTGAGGCCTGTGGTGGAAAAGGAAAATCTTCACATAAAAACTAGATGGAAGCATTCTCAGAAACTACTTTGTGATGATTGCATTCGACTCACAGAGTTGAACATTCCTATACATAGAGCAGGTTGTAAACAATCTTTTTGTAGAATCTGCGATTGGAGATTTGGACTGCTTTGAGGCCTACTGTAGTAAAGGAAATAACTTCATCTAAAAACCAAACGGAAGCATTCACAGACAATTCTTAGTGATCATTGGATTGAACTAACAGAGCTGAAAATTCCTTTAGATGGAGCAGTTTCCAAACCCACTTTCTGTAGAATCTGCAAGTGGATATTTGGACTTCTCTGAGGATTTCGTTGGAAACGGGATAAACTTCCCAAAACTACACGGAAGCATTCTGAGAAACTTCTTTGTGATGTTTGCATTCAACTCACAGAGTTGAACCTTGCTTTCATAGTTCAGCTTTCAAACACTCTTTTTGTAGAATCTGCAAGTGGATATTTGGACCACTTTGTGGCCTTCCTTCGAAACGGGTATATCTTCACATCAAACCTAGACAGAAGCATTCTCAGAATGTTTCCTGTGATGACTGCATTCAACTCACAGAGGTGAACAATCCTGCTGATGGAGCAGTTTTGAAACTCTCTTTCTTTGGATTCTGCAAGTGGATATGTGGACCTCTGTGAAGATTTCGTTGGAAACGGGTTCATCTTCACAGAAAAACTAAACAGAAGCATTCTCAGAAACTGCTTTGTGATGTTTGTGTTCCACTTCAAGAATTGAACTTTCCTCTTGACAGAACAGCTCTGAAACCCTCTTTCTCTAGAATCTGCAAGTGGACATTTGGAGGGCTTTGAGGCCTGTGGTGGAAAAGGAAATATCTTCACATAAAACCTAGATGGAAGCATTCTCAGAAACTACTTTGTGATGATTGCATTCGACTCACAGAGTTGAACATTCCTATAGATAGAGCAGGTTGCAAACCATCTTTTTGTAGAATCTGCGATTGGAGATTTGGACTGCTTGGAGGCCTACTGTAGTAAAGGAAATAACTTCATCTAAAAACCAAACGGAAGCATTCACAGACAATTCTTAGTGATCATTGGATTGAACTAACAGAGCTGAACATTCCTTTAGATGGCGCAGTTTCCAAACACACTTTCTGTAGAATCTGCAAGTGGATATTTGGACTTCTCTGAGGATTTCGTTGGAAACGGGATAAAATTCCCAGAACTACACGGGAGCATTGTGAGAAACTTCTTTGTGATGTTTGCATTCAACTCACAGAGTTGAACCTTGCTTTCATAGTTCAGCTTTCAAACACTCTTTTTGTAGAATCTGCAAGTGGATATTTGGACCACTTTGTGGCCTTCCTTCGAAACGGGTATATCTTCACATCAAACCTAGACAGAAGCATTCTCAGAATGTTTCCTGTGATGACTGCATTCAACTCACAGAGGTGAACAATCCTGCTGATGGAGCAGTTTTGAAACTCTCTTTCTTTGGATTCTGCAAGTGGATATGTGGACCTACTGTGAAGATTTCGTTGGAAACGGGTTCATCTTCACAGAAAAACTAAACAGGAGCATTCTCAGAAACTGCTTTGTGATGTTTGTGTTCCACTTCAAGAATTGAACTTTCCTCTTGACAGAGCAGCTCTGAAACCCTCTTTTTCTAGAATCTGCAAGTGGACATTTGGAGGGCTTTGAGGCCTGTGGTGGAAAAGGAAAATCTTCACATAAAAACTAGATGGAAGCATTCTCAGAAACTACTTTGTGATGATTGCATTCGACTCACAGAGTTGAACATTCCTATAGATAGAGCAGGTTGTAAACAATCTTTTTGTAGAATCTGCGATTGGAGATTTGGACTGCTTTGAGGCCTACTGTAGTAAAGGAAATAACTTCATCTAAAAACCAAACGGAAGCATTCACAGACAATTCTTAGTGATCATTGCATTGAACTAACAGAGCTGAACATTCCTTTAGATGGCGCAGTTTCCAAACACACTTTCTGTAGAATCTGCAAGTGGATATTTGGACCTCTCTGAGGATTTCGTTGGAAACGGGATAAACTTCCCAGAACTACACGGAAGCATTCTGAGAAACTTCTTTGTGATGTTTGCATTCAACTCACAGAGTTGAACCTTGCTTTCATAGTTCAGCTTTCAAACACTCTTTTTGTAGAATCTGCAAGTGGATATTTGGACCACTTTGTGGCCTTCCTTCGAAACGGGTATATCTTCACATCAAACCTAGACAGAAGCATTCTCAGAATGTTTCCTGTGATGACTGCATTCAACTCACAGAGGTGAACAATCCTGTTGATGGAGCAGTTTTGAAACTCTCTTTCTTTGGATTCTGCAAGTGGATATGTGGACCTCTGTGAAGATTTCGTTGGAAACGGGTTCATCTTCACAGAAAAACTAAACAGGAGCATTCTCAGAAACTGCTTTGTGATGTTTGTGTTCCACTTCAAGAATTGAACTTTCCTCTTGACAGAGCAGCTCTGAAACCCTCTTTTTCTAGAATCTGCAAGTGGACATTTGGAGGGCTTTGAGGCCTGTGGTGGAAAAGGAAAATCTTCACATAAAAACTAGATGGAAGCATTCTCAGAAACTACTTTGTGATGATTGCATTCGACTCACAGAGTTGAACATTCCTATAGATAGAGCAGGTTGTAAACAATCTTTTTGTAGAATCTGCGATTGGAGATTTGGACTGCTTTGAGGCCTACTGTAGTAAAGGAAATAACTTCATCTAAAAACCAAAATGGAAGCATTCACAGACAATTCTTAGTGATCATGGGATTGAACTAACAGAGCTGAACATTCCTTTAGATGGAGCAGTTTCCAAACACACTTTCTGTAGAATCTGCAAGTGGATATTTGGACTTCTCTGAGGATTTCGTTGGAAACGGGATAAACTTCCCAGAACTACACGGAAGCATTGTGAGAAACTTCTTTGTGATGTTTGCATTCAACTCACAGAGTTGAACCTTGCTTTCATAGTTCAGCTTTCAAACACTCTTTTTGTAGAATCTGCAAGTGGATATTTGGACCACTTTTTGGCCTTCCTTCGAAACGGGTATATCTTCACATCAAACCTAGACAGAAGCATTCTCAGAATGTTTCCTGTGATGACTGCATTCAACTCACAGAGGTGAACAATCCTGTTGATGGAGCAGTTTTGAAACTCTCTTTCTTTGGATTCTGCAAGTGGATATGTGGACCTCTGTGAAGATTTCGTTGGAAACGGGTTCATCTTCACAGAAAAACTAAACAGGAGCATTCTCAGAAACTGCTTTGTGATGTTTGTCTTCCACTTCAAGAATTGAACTTTCCTCTTGACAGAGCAGCTCTGAAACCCTCTTTTTCTAGAATCTGCAAGTGGACATTTGGAGGGCTTTGAGGCCTGTGGTGGAAAAGGAAAATCTTCACATAAAAACTAGATGGAAGCATTCTCAGAAACTACTTTGTGATGATTGCATTCGACTCACAGAGTTGAACATTCCTATAGATAGAGCAGGTTGTAAACAATCTTTTTGTAGAATCTGCGATTGGAGATTTGGACTGCTTTGAGGCCTACTGTAGTAAAGGAAATAACTTCATCTAAAAACCAAACGGAAGCATTCACAGACAATTCTTAGTGATCATTGGATTGAACTAACAGAGCTGAACATTCCTTTAGATGGAGCAGTTTCCAAACACACTTTCTGTAGAATCTGCAAGTGGATATTTGGACCTCTCTGAGGATTTCGTTGGAAACGGGATAAACTTCCCAGAACTACACGGAAGCATTCTGAGAAACTTCTTTGTGATGTTTGCATTCAACTCACAGAGTTGAACCTTGCTTTCATAGTTCAGCTTTCAAACACTCTTTTTGTAGAATCTGCAAGTGGATATTTGGACCACTTTGTGGCCTTCCTTCGAAACGGGTATATCTTCACATCAAACCTAGACAGAAGCATTCTCACAATGTTTCCTGTGATGACTGCATTCAACTCACAGAGGTGAACAATCCTGCTGATGGAGCAGTTTTGAAACTCTCTTTCTTTGGATTCTACAAGTGGATATGTGGACCTCTGTGAAGATTTCGTTGGAAACGGGTTCATCTTCACAGAAAAACTAAACAGAAGCATTCTCAGAAACTGCTTTGTGATGTTTGTGTTCCACTTCAGGAATTGAACTTTTCTCTTGAAAGAGCAGCTCTGAAACCCTCTTTTTCTAGAATCTGCAAGTGGACATTTGGAGGGCTTTGAGGCCTGTGGTGGAAAAGGAAAATCTTCACATAAAAACTAGATGGAAGCATTCTCAGAAACTACTTTGTGGTGATTGCATTCGACTCACAGAGTTGAACATTCCTATAGATAGAGCAGGTTGTAAACAATCTTTTTGTAGAATCTGCGATTGGAGATTTGGACTGCTTTGAGGCCTACTGTAGTAAAGGAAATAACTTCATCTAAAAACCAAACGGAAGCATTCACAGACAATTCTTAGTGATCATTGGATTGAACTAACAGAGCTGAACATTCCTTTAGATGGAGCAGTTTCCAAACACACTTTCTGTAGAATCTGCAAGTGGATATTTGGACCTCTCTGAGGATTTCGTTGGAAACGGGATAAACTTCCCAGAACTACACGGAAGCATTCTGAGAAACTTCTTTGTGATGTTTGCATTCAACTCACAGAGTTGAACCTTGCT
Source organism: Homo sapiens (assembly GCF_000001405.40). NCBI lineage: Eukaryota > Metazoa > Chordata > Mammalia > Primates > Hominidae > Homo > Homo sapiens. The sequence goes on from NC_000011.10 coordinate 52,317,801, forward strand.
TTCATAGTTCAGCTTTCAAACACTCTTTTTGTAGAATCTGCAAGTGGATATTTGGACCACTTTGTGGCCTTCCTTCGAAACGGGTATATCTTCACATCAAACCTAGACAGAAGCATTCTCAGAATGTTTCCTGTGATGACTGCATTCAACTCACAGAGGTGAACAATCCTGCTGATGGAGCAGTTTTGAAACTCTCTTTCTTTGGATTCTGCAAGTGGATATGTGGACCTCTGTGAAGATTTCTTTGGAAACGGGTTCATCTTCACAGAAAAACTAAACAGAAGCATTCTCAGAAACTGCTTTGTGATGCTTGTGTTCCATTTCAGGAATTGAACTTTCCTCTTGACAGAGCAGCTCTGAAACCCTCTTATTCTAGAATCTGCAAGTGGACATTTGGAGGGCTTTGAGGCCTGTGGTGGAAAAGGAAAATCTTCACATAAAAACTAGATGGAAGCATTCTCAGAAACTACTTTGTGATGATTGCATTCGACTCACAGAGTTGAACATTCCTATAGATAGAGCAGGTTGTAAACAATCTTTTTGTAGAATCTGCGATTGGAGATTTGGACTGCTTTGAGGCCTACTGTAGTAAAGGAAATAACTTCATCTAAAAACCAAACGGAAGCATTCACAGACAATTCTTAGTGATCATTGCATTGAACTAACAGAGCTGAACATTCCTTTAGATGGAGCAGTTTCCAAACACACTTTCTGTAGAATCTGCAAGTGGATATTTGGACTTCTCTGAGGATTTCGTTGGAAACGGGATAAACTTCCCAGAACTACACGGAAGCATTGTGAGAAACTTCTTTGTGATGTTTGCATTCAACTCACAGAGTTGAACCTTGCTTTCATAGTTCAGCTTTCAAACACTCTTTTTGTAGAATCTGCAAGTGGATATTTGGACCACTTTGTGGCCTTCCTTCGAAACGGGTATATCTTCACATCAAACCTAGACAGAAGCATTCTCAGAATGTTTCCTGTGATGACTGCATTCAACTCACAGAGGTGAACAATCCTGCTGATGGAGCACTTTTGAAACTCTCTTTCTTTGGATTCTGCAAGTTGATATGTGGACCTCTGTGAAGATTTCGTTGGAAACGGGTTCATCTTCACAGAAAAACTAAAAAGAAGCATTCTCAGAAACTGCTTTGTGATGTTTGTGTTCCACTTCAAGAATTGAACTTTCCTCTTGACAGAGCAGCTCTGACACCCTCTTTTTCTAGAATCTGTAAGTGGACATTTGGAGGGCTTTGAGGCCTGTGGTGGAAAAGGAAAATCTTCACATAAAAACTAGATGGAAGCATTCTCAGAAACTACTTTGTGATGATTGCATTCGACTCACAGAGTTGAACATTCCTATAGATAGAGCAGGTTGTAAACAATCTTTTTGTAGAATCTGCGATTGGAGATTTGGATTGCTTTGAGGCCTACTGTAGTAAAGGAAATAACTTCATCTAAAAACCAAACGGAAGCATTCACAGACAATTCTTAGTGATCATTGGATTGAACTAACAGAGCTGAACATTCCTTTATATGGAGCAGTTTCCAAACACACTTTCTGTAGAATCTGCAAGTGGATATTTGGACTTCTCTGAGGATTTCGTTGGAAACGGGATAAACTTCCCAGAAATACACGGAAGCATTGTGAGAAACTTCTTTGTGATGTTTGCATTCAACTCACAGAGTTGAACCTTGCTTTCATAGTTCAGCTATCAAACACTCTTTTTGTAGGGTCTGCAAGTGGATATTTGGACCACTTTGTGGCCTTCCTTCGAAACGGGTATATCTTCACATCAAACCTAGACAGAAGCATTCTCAGAATGTTTCCTGTGATGACTGCATTCAACTCACAGAGGTGAACAATCCTGCTGATGGAGCAGTTTTGAAACTCTCTTTCTTTGGATTCTGCAAGTGGATATGTGGACCTCTGTGAAGATTTCGTTGGAAACGGGTTCATCTTCACAGAAAAACTAAACAGGAACATTCTCAGAAACTGCTTTGTGATGTTTGTGTTCCACTTCAAGAATTGAACTTTCCTCTTGACAGAGCAGCTCTGAAACCCTCTTTTTCTAGAATCTGCAAGTGGACATTTGGAGGGCTTTGAGGCCTGTGGTGGAAAAGGAAAATCTTCACATAAAAACTAGATGGAAGCATTCTCAGAAACTACTTTGTGATGATTGCATTCGACTCACAGAGTTGAACATTCCTATAGATAGAGCAGGTTGTAAACAATGTTTTTGTAGAATCTGCGATTGGAGATTTGGACTGCTTTGAGGCCTACTGTAGTAAAGGAAATAACTTCATCTAAAAACCAAACGGAAGCATTCACAGACAATTCTTAGTGATCATTGGATTGAACTAACAGAGCTGAACATTCCTTTAGATGGAGCAGTCTCCAAACACACTTTCTGCAGAATCTGCAAGTGGATATTTGGACTTCTCTGAGGATTTCGTTGGAAACGGGATAAACTTCCCAGAACTACACGGAAGCATTCTGAGAAACTTCTTTGTGATGTTTGCATTCAACTCACAGAGTTGAACCTTGCTTTCATAGTTCAGCTTTCAAACACTCTTTTTGTAGAATCTGCAAGTGGATATTTGGACCACTTTGTGGCCTTCCTTCGAAACGGGTATATCTTCACATCAAACCTAGACAGAAGCATTCTCAGAATGTTTCCTGTGATGACTGCATTCAACTCACAGAGGTGAACAATCCTGCTGATGGAGCAGTTTTGAAACTCTCTTTCTTTGGATTCTGCAAGTGGATATGTGGACCTCTGTGAAGATTTCGTTGGAAACGGGTTCATCTTCACAGAAAAACTAAACAGAAGCATTCTCAGAAACTGCTTTGTGATGTTTGTGTTCCACTTCAGGAATTGAACTTTCCTCTTGACAGAGCAGCTCTGAAACCCTCTTATTCTAGAATCTGCAAGTGGACATTTGGAGGGCTTTGAGGCCTGTGGTGGAAAAGGAAAATCTTCACATAAAAACTAGATGGAAGCATTCTCAGAAACTACTTTGTGATGATTGCATTCGACTCACAGAGTTGAACATTCCTATAGATAGAGCAGGTTGTAAACAATCTTTTTGTAGAATCTGCGATTGGAGATTTGGACTGCTTTGAGGCCTACTGTAGTAAAGGAAATAACTTCATCTAAAAACCAAACGGAAGCATTCACAGACAATTCTTAGTGATCATTTGATTGAACTAACCGAGCTGAACATTCCTTTAGATGGAGCAGTTTCCAAACACACTTTCTGTAGAATCTGCAAGTGGACATTTTGACCTCTCTGAGGGTTTCGTTGGAAACGGGATAAACTTCCCAGAACTACACGGAAGCATTCTGAGAAAATTCTTTGTGATGTTTGCATTCAACTCACAGAGTTGAACCTTGCTTTCATAGTTCAGCTTTCAAACACTCTTTTTGTAGAATCTGCAAGTAGATATTTGGACCACTTTGTGGCCTTCCTTCGAAACGGGTATATCTTCACATCAAACCTAGACAGAAGCATTCTCAGAATGTTTCCTGTGATGACTGCATTCAACTCACAGAGGTGAACAATCCTGCTGATGGAGCAGTTTTGAAACTCTCTTTCTTTGGATTCTGCAAGTGGATATGTGGACCTCTGTGAAGATTTCGTTGGAAACGGGTTCATCTTCACAGAAAAACTAAACAGAAGCATTCTCAGAAACTGCTTTGTGATGTTTGTGTTCCACTTCAAGAATTGAACTTTCCTTTTGACAGAGCAGCTCTGAAACCCTCTTATTCTAAAATCTGCAAGTGGACATTTGGAGGGCTTTGAGGCCTGTGGTGGAAAAGGAAAATCTTCACATAAAAACTAGATGGAAGCATTCTCAGAAACTACTTTGTGATGATTGCATTCGACTCACAGAGTTGAACATTCCTATAGATAGAGCAGGTTGTAAACAATCTTTTTGTAGAATCTGCGATTGGAGATTTGGACTGCTTTGAGGCCTTCTGTAGTAAAGGAAATTACTTCATCTAAAAACCAAACGGAAGCATTCACAGACAATTCTTAGTGATCATTGGATTGAACTAACAGAGCTGAACATTCCTTTAGATGGAGCATTTTCCAAACACACTTTCTGTAGAATCTGCAAGTGGATATTTGGACTTCTCTGAGGATTTCGTTGGAAACGGGATAAACTTCCCAGAACTACACGGAAGCATTCTGAGAAACTTCTTTGTGATGTTTGCATTCAACTCACAGAGTTGAACCTTGCTTTCATAGTTCAGCTTTCAAACACTATTTTTGTAGAATCTGCAAGTGGATATTTGGACCACTTTGTGGCCTTCCTTCGAAACGGGTATATCTTCACATCAAACCTAGAGAGAAGCATTCTCAGAATGTTTCCTGTGATGACTGCATTCAACTCACAGAGGTGAACAATCCTGTTGATGGAGCACTTTTGAAACTCTCTTTCTTTGGATTCTGCAAGTTGATATGTGGACCTCTGTGAAGATTTCGTTGGAAACGGGTTCATCTTCACAGAAAAACTAAACAGAAGCATTCTCAGAAACTGCTTTGTGATGTTTGTGTTCCACTTCAGGAATTGAACTTTCCTCTTGACAGAGCAGCTCTGAAACCCTCTTTTTCTAGAATCTGCAAGTGGACATTTGGAGGGCTTTGAGGCCTGTGGTGGAAAAGGAAAATCTTCACATAAAAAATAGATGGAAGCATTCTCAGAAACTACTTTGTGATGATTGCATTCGACTCACAGAGTTGAACATTCTTATAGATAGAGCAGGTTGTAAACAATGTTTTTGTAGAATCTGCGATTGGAGATTTGGATTGCTTTGAGGCCTACTGTAGTAAAGGAAATAACTTCATCTAAAAACCAAACGGAAGCATTCACAGACAATTCTTAGTGATCATTGGATTGAACTAACAGAGCTGAACATTCCTTTAGATGGAGCAGTTGCCAAACCCACTTTCTGTAGAATCTGCAAGTGGATATTTGGACTTCTCTGAGGATTTCGTTGGAAACGGGATAAACTTCCCAGAACTACACGGAGCATTGTGAGAAACTTCTTTGTGATGTTTGCATTCAACTCACAGAGTTGAACCTTGCTTTCATAGTTCAGCTTTCAAACACTCTTTTTGTAGAATCTGCAAGTGGATATTTGGACCACTTTGTGGCCTTCCTTTGAAAAGGGTATATCTTCACATCAAACCTAGACAGAAGCATTCTCAGAATGTTTCCTGTGATGACTGCATTCAACTCACAGAGGTTAACAATCCTGCTGATGGAGCAGTTTTGAAACTCTCTTTCTTTGGATTCTGCAAGTGGATATGTGGACCTCTGTGAAGATTTCGTTGGAAACGGGTTCATCTTCACAGAAAAACTAAACAGAAGCATTCTCACAAACTGCTTTGTGATGTTTGTGTTCCACTTCAGGAATTGAACTTTCCTCTTGACAGAGCAGCTCTGAAACCCTCTTTTTCTAGAATCTGCAAGTGGACATTTGGAGGGCTTTGAGGCCTGTGGTGGAAAAGGAAAATCTTCACATAAAAACTAGATGGAAGCATTCTCAGAAACTACTTTGTGATGATTGCATTCGACTCACAGAGTTGAACATTCCTATAGATAGAGCAGGTTGTAAACAATCTTTTTGTAGAATCTGCGATTGGAGATTTGGACTGCTTTGAGGCCTACTGTAGTAAAGGAAATAACTTCATCTAAAAACCAAACGGAAGCATTCACAGACAATTCTTAGTGATCATTGCATTGAACTAACAGAGCTGAACATTCCTTTAGATGGAGCAGTTTCCAAACACACTTTCTGTAGAATCTGCAAGTGGATATTTGGACCTCTGTGAGGATTTCTTTGGAAACGGGATAAACTTCCCAGAACTACACGTAAGCATTCTGAGAAACTTCTTTGTGATGTTTGCATTCAACTCACAGAGTTGAACCTTGCTTTCATAGGTCAGCTTTCAAACACTCTTTTTGTGGAATCTGCAAGTGGATATTTGGACCACTTTGTGGCCTTCCTTCGAAACGGGTATATCTTCACATCAACCCTAGACAGAAGCATTCTCAGAATGTTTCCTGTGATGACTGCATTCAACTCACAGAGGTGAACAATCCTGCTGATGGAGCAGTTTTGAAACTCTCTTTCTTTGGATTCTGCAAGTTGATATGTGGACCTCTGTGAAGATTTCGTTGGAAACGGGTTCATCTTCACAGAAAAACTAAACAGAAGCATTCTCAGAAACTGCTTTGTGATGTTTGTGTTCCACTTCAAGAATTGAACTTTCCTCTTGATAGAGCAGCTCTGAAACCCTCTTTTTCTAGAATCTGCAAGTGGACATTTGGAGGGCTTTGAGGCCTGTGGTGGAAAAGGAAAATCTTCACATAAAAACTAGATGGAAGCATTCTCAGAAACTACTTTGTGATGATTGCATTCGACTCACAGAGTTGAACATTCCTATAGATAGAGCAGGTTGTAAACAATCTTTTTGTAGAATCTGCGATTGGAGATTTGGACTGCTTTGAGGCCTACTGTAGTAAAGGAAATAACTTCATCTAAAAACCAAACGGAAGCATTCACAGACAATTCTTAGTGATCATTGGATTGAACTAACAGAGTTGAACATTCCTTTAGATGGAGCAGTTTCCAAACACACTTTCTGTAGAATCTGCAAGTGGATATTTGGACCTCTCTGAGGATTTCGTTGGAAACGGGATATACTTCCCAGAACTACACGGAAGTATTCTGAGAAACTTCTTTGTGATGTTTGCATTCAACTCACAGAGTTGAACCTTGCTTTCATAGTTCAGCTTTCAAACACTCTTTTTGTAGAATCTGCAAGTGGATATTTGGACAACTTTGTGGCCTTCCTTCGAAACGGGTATATCTTCACATCAAACCTTGACAGAAGCATTCTCAGAATGTTTCCTGTGATGACTGCATTCAACTCACAGAGGTGAACAATCCTGCTGATGGAGCAGTTTTGAAACTCTCTTTCTTTGGATTCTGCAAGTGGATATGTGGACCTCTGTGAAGATTTCGTTGGAAACGGGTTCATCTTCACAGAAAAACTAAACAGGAGCATTCTCAGAAACTGCTTTGTGATGTTTGTGTTCCACTTCAAGAATTGAACTTTCCTCTTGACAGAGCAGCTCTGAAACCCTCTTTTTCTAGAATCTGCAAGTGGACATTTGGAGGGCTTTGAGGCCTGTGGTGGAAAAGGAAAATCTTCCCATAAAAACTAGATGGAAGCATTCTCAGAAACTACTTTGTGATGATTGCATTCGACTCACAGAGTTGAACATTACTATAGATAGAGCAGGTTGTAAACAATGTTTTTGTAGAATCTGCGATTGGAGATTTGGACTGCTTTGAGGCCTACTGTAGTAAAGGAAATAACTTCATCTAAAAACCAAACGGAAGCATTCACAGACAATTCTTAGTGATCATTGGATTGAGCTAACAGAGCTGAACATTCCTTTAGATGGAGCAGTTTCCAAACACACTTTCTGCAGAATCTGCAAGTGGATATTTGGACTTCTCTGAGGATTTCGTTGGAAACGGGATAAACTTCCCAGAACTACACGGAAGCATTGTGAGAATCATCTTTCTGATGTTGGCATTCAACTCACAGAGTTGAACCTTGCTTTCATAGTTCAGCTTTCAAACACTCTTTTTGTAGAATCTGCAAGTGGATATTTGGACCACTTTGTGGCCTTCCTTTGAAACGGGTACATCTTCACATCAAACCTAGACAGAAGCATTCTCAGAATGTTTCCTGTGATGACTGCATTCAACTCACAGAGGTGAACAATCCTGCTGATGGAGCAGTTTTGAAACTCTCTTTCTTTGGATTCTGCAAGTGGATATGTGGACCTCTGTGAAGATTTCGTTGGAAACGGGTTCATCTTCATAGAAAAACTAAACAGGAGCATTCTCAGAAACTGCTTTGTGATGTTTGTGTTCCACTTCAAGAATTGAACTTTCCTCTTGACAGAGCAGCTCTGAAACCCTCTTTTTCTAGAATCTGCAAGTGGACATTTGGAGGGCTTTGAGGCCTGTGGTGGAAAAGGAAAATCTTCACATAAAAACTAGATGGAAGCATTCTCAGAAACTACTTTGTGATGATTGCATTCGACTCACAGAGTTGAATATTCCTATAGATAGAGCAGGTTGTAAACAATCTTTTTGTAGAATCTGCGATTGGAGATTTGGACTGCTTTGAGGCCTACTGTAGTAAAGGAAATAACTTCATCTAAAAACCAAACGGAAGCATTCACAGACAATTCTTAGTGATCATTGGATTGAACTAACAGAGCTGAACATTCCTTTAAATGGCGCAGTTTCCAAACACACTTTCTGTAGAATCTGCAAGTGGATATTTGGACCTCTCTGAGGATTTCGTTGGAAACGGGATAAACTTCCCAGAACTACACGGAAGCATTCTGAGAAACTTCTTTGTGATGTTTGCATTCAACTCACAGAGTTGAAACTTGCTTTCATAGTTCAGCTTTCAAACACTCTTTTTGTAGAATCTGCAAGTGGATATTTGGACCACTTTGTGGCCTTCCTTCGAAACGGGTATATCTTCACATCAAACCTAGACAGAAGCATTCTCAGAATGTTTCCTGTGATAACTGCATTCAACTCACAGAGGTGAACAATCCTGTTGATGGAGCAGTTTTGAAACTCCCTTTCTTTGGATTCTGCAAGTGGATATGTGGAACTCTGTGAAGATTTCGTTGGAAACGGGTTCATCTTCACAGAAAAAATAACAGGAGCATTCTCAGAAACTGCTTTGTGATGTTTGTGTTCCACTTCAAGAATTGAACTTTCCTCTTGACCGAGCAGCTCTGAAACCCTCTTTTTCTAGAATCTGCAAGTGGACATTTGGAGGGCTTTGAGGCCTGTGGTGGAAAAGGAAAATCTTCACATAAAAACTAGATGGAAGTATTCTCAGAAACTACTTTGTGATGATTGCATTCGACTCACAGAGTTGAACATTCCTATAGATAGAGCAGGTTGTAAACAATCTTTTGTAGAATCTGCGATTGGAGATTTGGACTGCTTTGAGGCCTACTGTAGTAAAGGAAATAACTTCATCTAAAAACCAAACGGAAGCATTCACAGACAATTCTTAGTGATCATTGCATTGAACTAACAGAGCTGAACATTCCTTTAGATGGCGCAGTTTCCAAACACACTTTCTGTAGAATCTGAAAGTGGATATTTGGACCTCTCTGAGGATTTCGTTGGAAACGGGATAAACTTCCCAGAACTACACGGTAGCATTCTGAGAAACTTCTTTGTGATGTTTGCATTCAACTCACAGAGTTGAACCTTGCTTTCATAGTTCAGCTTTCAAACACTCTTTTTGTAGAATCTGCAAGTGGATATTTGGACCACTTTGTGGCCTTCCTTCGAAACGGGTATATCTTCACATCAAACCTAGACAGAAGCATTCTCAGAATGTTTCCTGTGATGACTGCATTCAACTCACAGAGGTGAACAATCCTGCTGATGGAGCAGTTTTGAAACTCTCTTTCTTTGGATTCTGCAAGTGGATATGTGGACCTCTGTGAAGATTTCGTTGGAAACGGGTTCATCTTCACAGAAAAACTAAACAGAAGCATTCTCAGAAACTGCTTTGTGATGTTTGTGTTCCACTTCAGGAATTGAACTTTCCTCTTGACAGAGCAGCTCTGAAACCCTCTTATTCTATAATCTGCATGTGGACATTTGGAGGGCTTTGAGGCCTGTGGTGGAAAAGGAAAATCTTCACATAAAAACTAGATGGAAGCATTCTCAGAAACTACTTTGTGATGATTGCATTCGACTCACAGAGTTGAACATTCCTATAGATAGAGCAGGTTGTAAACAATCTTTTTGTAGAATCTGCGATTGGAGATTTGGACTGCTTTGAGGCCTACTGTAGTAAAGGAAATAACTTCATCTAAAAACCAAACGGAAGCATTCACAGACAATACTTAGTGATCATTGGATTGAACTAACAGAGCTGAACATTCCTTTAGATGGAGCAGTTTCCAAACACACTTTCTGTAGAATCTGCAAGTGGATATTTGGACTTCTCTGAGGATTTCGTTGGAAACGGGATAAACTTCCCAGAACTACACGGAAGCATTGTGAGAAACTTCTTTGTGATGTTTGCATTCAACTCACAGAGTTGAACCTTGCTTTCATAGTTCAGCTTTCAAACACTCTTTTTGTAGAATCTGCAAGTGGATATTTGGACCACTTTGTGGCCTTACTTCGAAACGGGTATATCTTCACATCAAACCTAGACAGAAGCATTCTCAGAATGTTTACTGTGGTGACTGCATTCAACTCACAGAGGTGAACAATCCTGCTGATGGAGCAGTTTTGAAACTCTTTTTCTTTGGATTCTGCAAGTGGATATGTGGACCTCTGTGAAGATTTCGTTGGAAACGGGTTCCTCTTCACAGAAAAACTAAACAGAAGCATTCTCAGAAACTGCTTTGTGATGTTTGTGTTCCACTTCAGGAATTGAACTTTCCTCTTGACAGAGCAGCTCTGAAACCCTCTTATTCTAGAATCTGCAAGTGGACATTTGGAGGGCTTTGAGGCCTGTGGTGGAAAAGGAAAATCTTCACATAAAAACTAGATGGAAGCATTCTCAGAAGCTACTCTGTGATGATTGCATTCGACTCACAGAGTTGAACATTCCTATAGATAGAGCAGGTTGTAAACAATCTTTTTGTAGAATCTGCGTTTGGAGATTTGGACTGCTTTGAGGCCTACTGTAGTAAAGGAAATAACTTCATCTAAAAACCAAACGGAAGCATTCACAGACAATTCTTAGTGATCATTGGATTGAACTAACAGAGCTGAACATTCCTTTAGATGGAGCAGTTTCCAAACACACTTTCTGTAGAATCTGCAAGTGGATATTTGGACCTCTCTGAGGATTTCGTTGGAAACGGGATAAACTTCCCAGAACTACACGGAAGCATTCGTGAGAAACTTCTTTGTGATGTTTGCATTCAACTCACAGAGTTGAACCTTGCTTTCATAGTTCAGCTTTCAAACACTCTTTTTGTAGAATCTGCAAGAGGATATTTAGACCAACTTTGTGGCCTTCCTTCGAAACGGGTATATCTTCACATCAAACCTAGACAGAAGCATTCTCAGAATGTTTCCTGTGATGACTGCATTCAACTCACAGAGGTGAACAATCCTGCTGATGGAGCAGTTTTGAAACTCTCTTTCTTTGGATTCTGCAAGTGGATATGTGGACCTCTGTGAAGATTTCGTTGGAAACGGGTTCATCTTCACAGAAAAACTAAACAGGAGCATTCTCAGAAACTGCTTTGTGATGTTTGTGTTCCACTTCAAGAATTGAACTTTCCTCTTGACAGAGCAGCTCTGAAACCCTCTTTTTCTAGAATCTGCAAGTGGACATTTGGAGGGCTTTGAGGCCTGTGGTGGAAAAGGAAAATCTTCACATAAAAACTAGATGGAAGCATTCTCAGAAACTACTTTGTGATGATTGCATTCGACTCACAGAGTTGAACATTCCTATAGATAGAGCAGGTTGTAAACAATCTTTTTGTAGAATCTGCGATTGGAGATTTGGACTGCTTTGAGGCCTACTGTAGTAAAGGAAATAACTTCATCTAAAAACCAAACGGAAGCATTCACATACAATTCTTAGTGATCATTGGATTGAACTAACAGAGCTGCACATTCCTTTAGATGGAGCAGTTTCCAAACACACTTTCTGTAGAATCTGCAAGTGGATATTTGGACCTCTCTGAGGATATCGTTGGAAACGGGATAAACTTCCCAGAACTACACGGAAGCATTCTGAGAAACGTCTTTGTGATGTTTGCATTCAACTCACAGAGTTGAACCTTGCTTTCATAGTTCAGCTTTCAAACACTCTTTTTGTAGAATCTGCAAGTGGATATTTGGACCACTTTGTGGCCTTCCTTCGAAACGGGTATATCTTCACATCAAACCTAGACAGAAGCATTCTCAGAATGTTTCCTGTGATGACTGCATTCAACTCACAGAGGTGAACAATCCTGTTGATGGAGCAGTTTTGAAACTCTCTTTCTTTGGATTCTGCAAGTGGATATGTGGACCTCTGTGAAGATTTCGTTTGAAACGGGTTCATCTTCACAGAAAAACTAAACAGAAGCATTCTCAGAAACTGCTTTGTGATGTTTGTGTTCCACATCAAGAATTGAACTTTCCTCTTGACAGAGCAGCTCTGAAACCCTCTTTTTCTAGAATTTGCAAGTGGACATTTGGAGGGCTTTGAGGCCTGTGGTGCAAAAGGAAAATCTTCACATAAAAACTAGATGGAAGCATTCTCAGAAACTACTTTGTGATGATTGCATTCGACTCACAGAGTTGAACATTCCTATAGATAGAGCAGGTTGTAAACAATGTTTTTGTAGAATCTGCGATTGGAGATTTGGATTGCTTTGAGGCCTACTGTAGTAAAGGAAATAACTTCATCTAAAAACCAAACGGAAGCATTCACAGACAATTCTTAGTGATCATTGCATTGAACTAACAGAGCTGAACATTCCTTTAGATGGAGCATTTTCCAAACACACTTTCTGTAGAATCTGCAAGTGGATATTTGGACTTCTCTGAGGATTTCGTTGGAAACGGGATAAACTTCCCAGAACTACACGGAAGCATTGTGAGAAACTTCTTTGTGATGTTTGCATTCATCTCACAGAGTTGAACCTTGCTTTCATAGTTCAGCTTTCAAACACTCTTTTTGTAGAATCTGCAAGTGGATATTTGGACCACTTTGTGGCCTTCCTTCGAAACGGGTATATCTTCACATCAAACCTAGACAGAAGCATTCTCAGAATGTTTCCTGTGATGACTGCATTCAACTCACAGAGGTGAACAATCCTGTTGATGGAGCAGTTTTGAAACTCTCTTTCTTTGGATTCTGCAAGTTGATATGTGGACCTCTGTGAAGATTTCGTTGGAAACGGGTTCATCTTCACAGAAAAACTAAACAGAAGCATTCTCAGAAACTGCTTTGTGATGTTTGTGTTCCACTTCAAGAATTGAACTTTCCTCTTGACAGAGCAGCTCTGAAACCCTCTTTTTCTAGAATCTGCAAGTGGACATTTGGAGGGCTTTGAGGCCTGTGGTGGAAAAGGAAAATCTTCACATAAAAACTAGATGGAAGCATTCTCAGAAACTACTTTGTGATGATTGCATTCGACTCACAGAGTTGAACATTCCTATAGGTAGAGCAGGTTGTAAACAATCTTTTTGTAGAATCTGCGATTGGAGATTTGGACTGCTTTGAGGCCTACTGTAGTAAAGGAAATTACTTCATCTAAAAACCAAACGGAAGCATTCACAGACAATTATTAGTGATCATTGGATTCAACTAACAGAGCTGAACATTCCTTTAGATGGAGCAGTTTCCAAACACACTTTCTGTAGAATCTGCAAGTGGATATTTGGACTTCTCTGAGGATTTCGTTGGAAACGGGATAAACTTCCCAGAACTACAGGGAAGCATTGTGAGAAACTTCTTTGTGATGTTTGCATTCAACTCACAGAGTTGAACCTTGCTTTCATAGTTCAGCTTTCAAACACTCTTTTTGTAGAATCTGCAAGTGGATATTTGGACCACTTTGTGGCCTTCCTTCGAAACGGGTATATCTTCACATCAAACCTAGACAGAAGCATTCTCAGAATGTTTCCTGTGATGACTGCATTCAACTCACAGAGGTGAACAATCCTGCTGATGGAGCAGTTTTGAAACTCTCTTTCTTTGGATTCTGCAAGTGGATATGTGGACCTCTGTGAAGATTTCGTTGGAAACGGGTTCATCTTCACAGAAAAACTAAACAGGAGCATTCTCAGAAACTGCTTTGTGATGTTTGTGTTCCACTTCAAGAATTGAACTTTCCTCTTGACAGAGCAGCTCTGAAACCCTCTTTTTCTAGAATCTGCAAGTGGACATTTGGAGGGCTTTGAGGCCTGTGGTGGAAAAGGAAAATCTTCACATAAAAACTAGATGGAAGCATTCTCAGAAACTACTTTGTGATGATTGCATTCGACTCACAGAGTTGAACATTCCTATAGATAGAGCAGGTTGAAAACAATCTTTTTGTAGAATCTGCGATTGGAGATTTGGACTGCTTTGAGGCCTACTGTAGTAAAGGAAATAACTTCATCTAAAAACCAAACGGAGGTATTCAAAGACAATTCTTAGTGATCATTGGATTGAACTAACAGAGCTGAAAATTAGTTTAGATGGCGCAGTTTCCAAACACACTTTCTGTAGAATCTGCAAGTGGATATTTGGACTTCTCTGAGGATTTCGTTGGAAACGGGATAAACTTCCCAGAACTACACGGCAGCATTCTGAGAAACTTCTTTGTGATGTTTGCATTCAACTCACAGAGTTGAACCTTGCTTTCATAGTTCAGCTTTCAAACACTCTTTTTGTAGAATCTGCAAGTGGATATTTGGACCACTTTCTGGCCTTCCTTCGAAACGGGTATATCTTCACATCAAACCTAGACAGAAGCATTCTCAGAATGTTTCCTGTGATGACTGCATTCAACTCACAGAGGTGAACAATCCTGCTGATGGAGCAGTTTTGAAACTCTCTTTCTTTGGATTCTGCAAGTGGATATGTGGACCTCTGTGAAGATTTCGTTGGAAACGGGTTCATCTTCACAGAAAAACTAAACAGGAGCATTCTCAGAAACTGCTTTGTGATGTTTGTGTTCCACTTCAGGAATTGAACTTTCCTCTTGACAGAGCAGCTCTGAAACCCTCTTTTTCTAGAATCTGCAAGTTGACATTTGGAGGGCTTTGAGGCCTGTGGTGGAAAAGGAAACTCTTCACATAAAAACTAGATGGAAGCATTCTCAGAAACTACTTTGTGATGATTGCATTCGACTCACAGAGTTGAACATTCCTATAGATAGAGCAGGTTGTAAACAATCTTTTTGTAGAATCTGCGATTGGAGATTTGGACTGCTTTGAGGCCTACTGTAGTAAAGGAAATAACTTCATCTAAAAACCAAACGGAAGCATTCACAGACAATTCTTAGTGATCATTGGATTGAACTAACACAGCTGAACATTCCTTTAGATGGAGCAGTTTCCAAACACACTTTCTGTAGAATCTGCAAGTGGATATTTGGACCTCTCTGAGGATTTCGTTGGAAACGGGATAAACTTCCCAGAACTACACGGAAGCATTCTGAGAAACTTCTTTGTGATGTTTGCATACAACTCACAGAGTTGAACCTTGCTTTCATAGTTCAGCTTTCAAACACTCTTTTTGTAGAATCTGCAAGTGGATATTTGGACCACTTTGTGGCCTTCCTTCGAAACGGGTATATCTTCACATCAAACCTAGACAGAAGCATTCTCAGAATGTTTCCTGTGATGACTGCATTCAACTCACAGAGGTGAACAATCCTGCTGATGGAGCAGTTTTGAAACTCTCTTTCTTTGGATTCTGCAAGTTGATATGTGGACCTCTGTGAAGATTTCGTTGGAAACGGGTTCATCTTCACAGAAAAAATAAACAGGAGCATTCTCAGAAACTGCTTTGTGATGTTTGTGTTCCACTTCAAGAATTGAACTTTCCTCTTGACAGAGCAGCTCTGAAACCCTCTTTTTCTAGAGTCTGCAAGTGGACATTTGGAGGGCTTTGAGGCCTGTGGTGGAAAAGGAAAATCTTCACATAAAAACTAGATGGAAGCATTCTCAGAAACTACTTTGTGATGATTGCATTCGACTCACAGAGTTGAACATTCCTATAGATAGAGCAGGTTGTAAACAATCTTTTTGTAGAATCTGCGATTGGAGATTTGGACTGCTTTGAGGCCTACTGTAGTAAAGGAAATAACTTCATCTAAAAACCAAACGGAAGCATTCACAGACAATTCTTAGTGATCATTGGATTGAACTAACAGAGCTGAACATTCCTTTAGATGGCGCAGTTTCCAAACACACTTTCTGTAGAATCTGCAAGTGGATATTTGGACCTCTCTGAGGATTTCGTTGGAAACGGGATAAACTTCCCAGAACTACAGGGAAGCATTGTGAGAAACTTCTTTGTGATGTTTGCATTCAACTCACAGAGTTGAACCTTGCTTTCATAGTTCAGCTTTCAAACACTCTTTTTGTAGAATCTGCAAGTGGATATTTGGAACACTTTGTGGCCTTCCTTCGAAACGGGTATATCTTCACATCAAACCTAGACAGAAGCATTCTCAGAATGTTTCCTGTGATGACTGCATTCAACTCACAGAGGTGAACAATCCTGCTGATGGAGCAGTTTTGAAACTCTCTTTCTTTGGATTCTGCAAGTGGATATGTGGACCTCTGTGAAGATTTCGTTGGAAACGGGTTCATCTTCACAGAAAAACTAAACAGAAGCATTCTCAGAAACTGCTTTGTGATGTTTGTGTTCCACTTCAGGAATTGAACTTTCCTCTTGACAGAGCAGCTCTAAAACCCTCTTATTCTAGAATCTGCAAGTGGACATTTGGAGGGCTTTGAGGCCTGTGGTGGAAAAGGAAAATCTTCACATAAAAACTAGATGGAAGCATTCTCAGAAACTACTTTGTGATGATTGCATTCGACTCACAGAGTTGAACATTCCTATAGATAGAGCAGGTTGTAAACAATCTTTTTGTAGAATCTGCGATTGGAGATTTGGACTGCTTTGAGGCCTACTGTAGTAAAGGAAATAACTTCATCTAAAAACGAAACGGAAGCATTCACAGACAATTCTTAGTGATCATTGGATTGAACTAACAGAGCTGAACATTCCTTTAGATGGAGCAGTTTCCAAACACACTTTCTGTAGAATCTGCAAGTGGATATTTGGACCTCTCTGAGGATTTCGTTGGAAACGGGCTAAACTTCCCAGAACTACACGGAAGCATTCTGAGAAACTTCTTTGTGATGTTTGCATTCAACTCACAGAGTTGAACCTTGCTTTCATAGTTCAGCTTTCAAACACTCTTTTTGTAGAATCTGCAAGTGGATATTTGGACCACTTTGTGGCCTTCCTTCGAAACGGGTATATCTTCACATCAAACCTAGACAGAAGCATTCTCAGAATGTTTCCTGTGATGACTGCATTCAACTCACAGAGGTGAACAATCCTGCTGATGGAGCAGTTTTGAAACTCTCTTTCTTTGGATTCTGCAAGTGGATATGTGGACCTCTGTGAAGATTTCGTTGGAAACGGGTTCATCTTCACAGAAAAACTAAACAGGACCATTCTCAGAAACTGCTTTGTGATGTTTGTGTTCCACTTCAAGAATTGAACTTTCCTCTTGACAGAGCAGCTCTGAAACCCTCTTTTTCTAGAATCTGCAAGTGGACATTTGGAGGGCTTTGAGGCCTGTGGTGGAAAAGGAAAATCTTCACATAAAAACTAGATGGAAGCATTCTCAGAAACTACTTTGTGATGATTGCATTCGACTCACAGAGTTGAACATTCCTATAGATAGAGCAGGTTGTAAACAATCTTTTTGTAGAATCTGCGATTGGAGATTTGGACTGCTTTGAGGCCTACTGTAGTAAAGGAAATAACTTCATCTAAAAACCAAACGGAAGCATTCACAGACAATTCGTAGTGATCATTGCATTGAACTAACAGAGCTGAACATTCCTTTAGATGGAGCAGTTTCCAAACACACTTTCTGTAGAATCTGCAAGTGGATATTTGGACTTCTCTGAGGATTTCGTTGGAAACGGGATAAACTTCCCAGAACTACACGGAAGCATTCTGAGAAACTTCTTTGTGATGTTTGCATTCAACTCATAGAGTTGAACCTTGCTTTCATAGTTCAGCTTTCAAACACTCTTTTTTTTAGAATCTACAGAAAGTGGATATTTGGACCACTTTGTGGCCTTCCTTCGAAACGGGTATATCTTCACATCAAACCTAGACAGAAGCATTCTCAGAATGTTTCCTGTGATGACTGCATTCAACTCACAGAGGTGAACAATCCTGCTGATGGAGCAGTTTTTAAACTCTCTTTCTTTGGTTTCTGCAAGTGGATATGTGGACCTCTGTGAAGATTTCGTTGGAAACGGGTTCATCTTCACAGAAAAACTAAAAAGAAACATTCTCAGAAACTGCTTTGTGATGTTTGTGTTCCACTTCAGGAATTGAACTTTCCTCTTGACAGAGCAGCTCTGAAACCCTCTTATTCTAGAATCTGCAAGTGGACATTTGGAGGGCTTTGAGGCCTGTGGTGGAAAAGGAAAATCTTCACATAAAAACTAGATGGAAGCATTCTCAGAAACTACTTTGTGATGATTGCATTCGACTCACAGAGTTGAACATTCCTATAGATAGAGCAGGTTGTAAACAATCTTTTTGTAGAATCTGCGATTGGAGATTTGGACTGCTTTGAGGCCTACTGTAGTAAAGGAAATAACTTCATCTAAAAACCAAACGGAAGCATTCACAGACAATTCTTAGTGATCATTGGATTGATCTAACAGAGCTGAACATTCCCTTAGATGGCGCAGTTTCCAAACACACTTTCTGTAGAATCTGCAAGTGGATATTTGGACTTCTCTGAGGATTTCGTTGGAAACGGGATAAACTTCCCAGAACTACACGGAAGCATTGTGAGAAACTTCTTTGTGATGTTTGCATTCAACTCACAGAGTTGAACCTTGCTTTCATAGTTCAGCTTTCAAACACTCTTTTTGTAGAATCTGCAAGTGGATATTTGGACCACTTTGTGGCCTTGCTTCGAAACGGGTATATCTTCACATCAAACCTAGACAGAAGCATTCTCAGAATGTTTCCTGTGATGACTGCATTCAACGCACAGAGGTGAACAATCCTGTTGATGGAGCAGTTTTGAACCTCTCTTTCTTTGGAATCTGCAAGTGGATATGTGGACCTCTTTGACGATTTCCTTGGAAACGGGTTCATCTTCAAAGAAAAACTAAACAGAAGCATTCTCAGAAACTGCTTTGTGATGTTTGTGTTCCACTTCAAGAATTGAACTTTCCTCTTGACAGAACAGCTCTGAAACCCTCTTTTTCTAGAATCTGCAAGTGGACATTTGGAGGGCTTTGAGGCCTGTGGTGGAAAAGGAAATATCTTCACATAAAACCTAGATAGAAGCATTCTCAGAAACTACTTTGTGATGATTGCATTCGACTCACAGAGTTGAACATTCCTATAGATAAAGCAGGTTGTAAACAATCATTTGTAGAATCTGCGATTGGAGATTTGGACTGCTTTGAGGCCTAGAGTACTAAAGGAAATAACTTCATCTAAAAACCAAGTGGAAGCATTCACAGACAATACTTTGTGATCATTGGATTGAACTAAGAGAGCTGAACATTCCTTTAGATGGCGCAGTTTCCAAACACACTTTCTGTAGAATATGCAAGTGGATATTTGGACCTCTCTGAGGATTTCGTTGGAAACGGGATAAATTCCCAGAACTACACAGAAGCATTCTGAGAAACTTCTTTGTGATGTTTGCATTCAACTCACAGAGTTGAACCTTGCTTTCATAGTTCAGCTTTGAAACACTCTTTCTGTAGAATCTGCAAGTGGATATTAGGACCACATTGTGGCCTTCCTTCGAAACGGGTATATCTTCACATCAAACCTAGACAGAAGCATTCTCAGAATGTTTCCTGTGATGACTGCATTCAACTCACAGAGGTGAACAATCCTGCTGATGGAGCAGTTTTGAAACTCTCTTTCTTTGGATTCTGCAAGTGGATATGTGGACCTCTGTGAAGATTTCGTTGGAAACGGGTTCATCTTCACAGAAAAACTAAACAGAAGCATTCTCAGAAACTGCTTTGTGATGTTTGTGTTCCACTTCAGGAATTGAACTTTCCTCTTGTCAGAGCAGCTCTGAAACCCTCTTTTTCTAGAATCTGCAAGTGGACATTTGGAGGGCTTTGAGGCCTGTGGTGGAAAAGGAAAATCTTCACATAAAAACTAGATGGAAGCATTCTCAGAAACTACTTTGTGATGATTGCATTCGACTCACAGAGTTGAACATTCCTATAGATAGAGCAGGTTGTAAACAATCTTTTTGTAGAATCTGCGATTGGAGATTTGGACTGCTTTGAGGCCTACTGTAGTAAAGGAAATAACTTCATCTAAAAACCAAACGGAAGCATTCACAGACAATTCTTAGTGATCATGGCATTGAACTAACAGAGCTGAACATTCCTTTAGATGGCGCAGTTTCCAAACACACTTTCTGTAGAATCTGCAAGTGGATATTTGGACCTCTCTGAGGATTTCGTTGGAAACGGGATAAACTTCCCAGAACTACACGGAAGCATTGTGAGAAACTTCTTTGTGATGTTTGCATTCAACTCACAGAGTTGAACCTTGCTTTCATAGTTCAGCTTTCAAACACTCTTTTTGTAGAATCTGCAAGTGGATATTTGGACCACTTTGTGGCCTTCCTTCGAAACGGGTATATCTTCACATCAAACCTAGACAGAAGCATTCTCAGAATGTTTCCTGTGATGACTGCATTCAACTCACAGAGGTGAACAATCCTGCTGATGGAGCAGTTTTGAAACTCTCTTTCTTTGGATTCTGCAAGTGGATATGTGGACCTCTGTGAAGATTTCGTTGGAAACGGGTTCATCTTCACAGAAAAACTAAACAGGAGCATTCTCAGAAACTGCTTTGTGATGTTTGTGTTCCACTTCAAGAATTGAACTTTCCTCTTGACAGAGCAGCTCTGAAACCCTCTTTTTCTAGAGTCTGCAAGGGGACATTTGGAGGGCTTTGAGGCCTGTGGTGGAAAAGGAAAATCTTCACATAAAAACTAGATGGAAGCATTCTCAGAAACTACTTTGGGATGATTGCATTCGACTCACAGAGTTGAACATTCCTATAGATAGAGCAGGTTGTAAACAATCTTTTTGTAGAATCTGCGATTGGAGATTTGGACTGCTTTGAGGCCTACTGTAGTAAAGGAAATAACTTCATCTAAAAACCAAACGGAAGCATTCACAGACAATTCTTAGTGATCATTGGATTGAACTAACAGAGCTGAACATTCCTTTAGATGGAGCAGTTTCCAAACACACTTTCTGTAGAATCTGCAAGTGGATATTTGGACTTCTCTGAGGATTTCGTTGGAAACGGGATAAACTTCCCAGAACTACACGGAAGCATTCTGAGAAACTTCTTTGTGATGTTTGCATTCAACTCACAGAGTTGAACCTTGCTTTCATAGTTCAGCTTTCAAACACTCTTTTTGTAGAATCTGCAAGTGGATATTTGGACCACTTTGTGGCCTTCCTTCGAAACGGGTATATCTTCACATCAAACCTAGACAGAAGCATTCTCAGAATGTTTCCTGTGATGACTGCATTCAACTCACAGAGGTGAACAATCCTGCTGTTGGAGCAGTTTTGAAACTCTCTTTCTTTGGATTCTGCAAGTGGATATGTGGACCTCTGTGAAGATTTCGTTGGAAACGGGTTCATCTTCACAGAAAAACTAAACAGGAGCATTCTCAGAAACTGCTTTGTGATGTTTCTGTTCCACTTCAGGAATTGAACTTTCCTCTTGACAGAGCAGCTCTGAAACCCTCTTTTTCTAGAATCTGCAAGTGGACATTTGGAGGGCTTTGAGGCCTGTGGTGGAAAAGGAAAATCTTCACATAAAAACTAGATGGAAGCATTCTCAGAAACTACTTTGTGATGATTGCATTCGACTCACAGAGTTGAACATTCCTATAGATAGAGCAGGTTGTAAACAATCTTTTTGTAGAATCTGCGATTGGAGATTTGGACTGCTTTGAGGCCTACTGTAGTAAAGGAAATAACTTCATCTAAAAACCAAACGGAAGCATTCACAGACAATTCTTAGTGATCATTGGATTGAACTAACAGAGCTGAACATTCCTTTAGATGGAGCAGTTTCCAAACACACTTTCTGTAGAATCTGCAAGTGGATATTTGGACTTCTCTGAGGATTTCGTTGGAAACGGGATAAACTTCCCAGAACTACACGGAAGCATTCTGAGAAACTTCTTTGTGATGTTTGCATTCAACTCACAGAGTTGAACCTTGCTTTCATAGTTCAGCTTTCAAACACTCTTTTTGTAGAATCTGCAAGTGGATATTTGGACCACTTTGTGGCCTTCCTTCGAAACGGGTATATCTTCACATCAAACCTAGACAGAAGCATTCTCAGAATGTTTCCTGTGATGACTGCATTCAACTCACAGAAGTGAACAATCCTGCTGATGGAGCAGTTTTGAAACTCTCTTTCTTTGGATTCTGCAAGTGGATATGTGGACCTCTGTGAAGATTTCGTTGGAAACGGGTTCATCTTCACAGAAAAACTAAACAGAAGCATTCTCAGAAACTGCTTTGTGATGTTTGTGTTCCACTTCAAGAATTGAACTTTCCTCTTGACAGAGCAGCTCTGAAACCCTCTTATTCTAGAATCTGCAAGTGGACATTTGGAGGGCTTTGAGGCCTGTGGTGGAAAAGGAAAATCTTCACATAAAAACTAGATGGAAGCATTCTCAGAAACTACTTTGTGATGATTGCATTCGACTCACAGAGTTGAACATTCCTATAGATAGAGCAGGTTGTAAACAATCTTTTTGTAGAATCTGCGATTGGAGATTTGGACTGCTTTGAGGCCTACTGTAGTAAAGGAAATAACTTCATCTAAAAACCAAACGGAAGCATTCACAGACAATTATTAGTGATCATTGGATTGAACTAACAGAGCTGAACATTCCTTTAGATGGAGCAGTTTCCAAACACACTTTCTGTAGAATCTGCAAGTGGATATTTGGACTTCTCTGAGGATTTCGTTGGAAACGGGATAAACTTCCCAGAACTACAGGGAAAGCATTCTGAGAAACTTCTTTGTGATGTTTGCATTCAACTCACAGGATTTGCACCTTGCTTTCATAGTTCAGCTTTCAAACACTCTTTTTGTAGAATCTGCAAGTGGATATTTGGACCACTTTGTGGCCTTCCTTCGAAAAGGGTATATCTTCACATCAAACCTAGACAGAAGCATTCTCAGAATGTTTCCTGTGATGACTGCATTCAACTCACAGAGGTGAACAATCCTGCTGATGGAGCAGTTTTGAAACTCTCTTTCTTTGGATTCTGCAAGTGGATATGTGGACCTCTGTGAAGATTTCGTTGGAAACGGGTTCATCTTCACAGAAAAACTAAACAGGAGCATTCTCAGGAAACTGCTTTGTGATGTTTGTGTTCCACTTCAAGAATAGAACTTTTCTCTTGACAGAGCAGCTCTGAAACCCTCTTTTTCTAGAATCTGCAAGTGGACATTTGGAGGGCTTTGAGGCCTGTGGTGGAAAACGAAAATCTTCACATAAAAACTAGATGGAAGCATTCTCAGAAACTACTTTGTGATGATTGCATTCGACTCACAGAGTTGAACATTCCTATAGATAGAGCAGGTTGTAAACAATGTTTTTGTAGAATCTGCGATTGGAGATTTGGACTGCTTTGAGGCCTACTGTAGTAAAGGAAATAACTTCATCTAAAAACCAAACGGAAGCATTCACAGAAAATTCTTAGTGATCATTGGATTGAACTAACAGAGCTGAACATTCCTTTAGATGGCACAGTTTCCAAACACACTTTCTGTAGAATCTGCAAGTGGATATTTGGACCTCTCTGAGGATTTCGTTGGAAAAGGGCTAAAATTCCCAGAACTACACGGAAGCATTCTGAGAAACTTCTTTGTGATGTTTGCATTCAACTCACAGAGTTGAACCTTGCTTTCAAAGTTCAGCTTTCAAACACTCTTTTTGTAGGATCTGCAAGTGGATATTTGGACCACTTTGGGGCCTTCCTTCGAAACGGGTTCATCTTCACAGAAAAACTAAACAGGAGCATTCTCAGAATGTTTCCTGTGATGACTGCATTCAACTCACAGAGGTGAACAATCCTGTTGATGGAGCAGTTTTGAATCTCTCTTTCTTTGGATTCTGCAAGTGGATACGTGGACCTCTGGGAAGATTTCGTTGTAAACGGGTTCATCTTCACAGAAAAACTAAACAGGAGCATTCTCAGAAACTGCTTTGTGATGTTTGTGTTCCACTTCAAGAATTGAACTTTCCTCTTGACAGAGCAGCTCTGAAACCCTCTTTTTCTAGAATCTGCAAGTGGACATTTGGAGGGCTTTGAGGCCTGTGGTGGAAAAGGAAAATCTTCACATAAAAACTAGATGAAAGCATTCTCAGAAACTACTTTGTGATGATTGCATTCGACTCACAGAGTTGAACATTCCTATAGATAGAGCAGGTTGTAAACAATCTTTTTGTAGGATCTGTGATTGGAGATTTGGACTGCTTTGAGGCCTACTGTAGTAAAGGAAATAACTTCATCTAAAAACCAAACGGAAGCATTCACAGACAATTCTTAGTGATCATTGGATTGAACTAACAGAGCTGAACATTCCTTTAGATGGAGCAGTTTCCAAACACACTTTCTGTAGAATCTGCAAGTGGATATTTGGACCTCTCTGAGGATTTCGTTGGAAACGGGATAAACTTCCCAGAACTACACGGAAGCATTCTGAGAAACTTCTTTGGATGTTTGCATTCAACTCACAGAGTTGAACCCTGCTTTCATTGTTCAGCTTTCAAACACTCTTTTTGTAGAATCTGCAAGTGGATATTTGGACCACTTTGTGGCCTTCCTTCGAAACGGGTATATCTTCACATCAAACCTAGACAGAAGCATTCTCAGAATGTTTCCTGTGATGACTGCATTCAACTCACAGAGGTGAACAATCCTGCTGATGGAGCAGTTTTGAAACTCTCTTTCTTTGGATTCTGCAAGTGGATATGTGGACCTCTGTGAAGATTTCGTTGGAAACGGGTTCATCTTCACAGAAAAACTAAACAGGAGCATTCTCAGAAACTGCTTTGTGATGTTTGTGTTCCACTTCAACAATTGAACTTTCCTCTTGACAGAGCAGCTCTGAAACCCTCTTTTTCTAGAATCTGCAAGTGGACATTTGGAGGGCTTTGAGGCCTGTGGTGGAAAAGGAAACTCTTCACATAAAAACTAGATGGAAGCATTCTCAGAAACTCCTTTGTGATGATTGCATTCGACTCACAGAGTTGAACATTCCTATAGATAGAGCAGGTTGTAAACAATCTTTTTGTAGAATCTGCGATTGGAGATTTGGACTGCTTTGAGGCCTACTGTAGTAAAGGAAATAACTTCATCTAAAAACCCAACGGAAGCATTCACAGACAATTCTTAGTGATCATTGGATTGAACTAACAGAGCTGAACATTCCTTTAGATGGCGCAGTTTCCAAACACACTTTCTGTAGAATCTGCAAGTGGATATGTGGACTTCTCTGAGGATTTCGTTGGAAACGGGATAAACTTCCCAGAACTACAGGGAAGCATTGTGAGAAACTTCTTTGTGATGTTTGCATTCAACTCACAGAGTTGAACGTTGCTTTCATAGTTCAGCTTTCAAACACTCTTTTTGTAGAATCTGCAAGTGGATATTTGGACCACTTTGTGGCCTTCCTTCGAAACGGGTATATCTTCACATCAAACCTAGACAGAAGCATTCTCAGAATGTTTCCTGTGATGACTGCATTCAACTCACAGAGGTGAACAATCCTGCTGATGGAGCAGTTTTGAAACTCTCTTTCTTTGGATTCTGCAAGTGGATATGTGGACCTCTGTGAAGATTTCGTTGGAAACGGGTTCATCTTCACAGAAAAACTAAACAGGAGCATTCTCAGAAACTGCTTTGTGATGTTTGTGTTCCACTTCAGGAATTGAACTTTCCTCTTGATAGAGCAGCTCTGAAACCCTCTTATTCTAGAATCTGCCAGTGGACATTTGGAGGGCTTTGAGGCCTGCGGTGGAAAAGGAAAATCTTCACATAAATACTAGATGGAAGCATTCTCAGAAACTACTTTGTGATGATTGCATTCGACTCACAGAGTTGAACATTCCTATAGATAGAGCAGGTTGTAAACAATCTTTTTGTAGAATCTGAGATTGGAGATTTGGACTGCTTTGAGGCCTACTGTAGTAAAGGAAATAACTTCATCTAAAAACCAAACGGAAGCATTCACAGACAATTCTTAGTGATCATTGGATTGAACAAACAGAGCTGAACATTCCTTTAGATGGCGCAGTTTCCAAACACACTTTCTGTAGAATCTGCAAGTGGATATTTGGAGCTCTCTGAGGATTTCGTTGGAAACGGGATAAACTTCCCAGAACTACACGGAAGCATTGTGAGAAACTTCTTTGTGATGTTTGCATTCAACTCACAGAGTTGAACCTTTCTTTCATAGTTCAGCTTTCAAACACTCTTTTTGTAGAATCTGCAAGTGGATATTTGGACCACTTTGTGGCCTTCCTTCGAAACGGGTATATCTTCACATCAAACCGAGACAGAAGCATTCTCAGAATGTTTCCTGTGATGACTGCATTCAACTCACAGAGGTGAACAATCCTGCTGATGGAGCAGTTTTGAAACTCTCTTTCTTTGGATTCTGCAAGTGGATATGTGGACCTCTGTGAAGATTTCGTTGGAAACGGGTTCATCTTCACAGAAAAACTAAACAGAAGCATTCTCAGAAACTGCTTTGTGATGTTTGTGTTCCACTTCAGGAATTGAACTTTCCTCTTGACAGAGCAGCTCTGAAACCCTCTTATTCTAGAATCTGCAAGTGGACATTTGGAGGGCTTTGAGGCCTGTGGTGGAAAAGGAAAATCTTCACATAAAAACTAGATGGAAGCATTCTCAGAAACTACTTTGTGATGATTGCATTCGACTCACAGAGTTGAACATTCCTATAGATAGAGCAGGTTGGAAACAATCTTTTTGTAGAATCTGCGATTGGAGATTTGGACTGCTTTGAGGCCTACTGTAGTAAAGGAAATAACTTCATCTAAAAACCAAACGGAAGCATTCACAGACAATTCTTAGTGATCATTGCATTGAACTAACAGAGCTGAACATTCCTTTAGATGGAGCAGTTTCCAAACCAACTTTCTGTAGAATCTGCAAGTGGATATTTGGACTTCTCTGAGGATTTCGTTGGAAACGGGAAAAACTTCTCAGAACTACACGGAAGCATTGTGAGAAACTTCTTTGTGATGTTTGCATTCAACTCACAGAGTTGAACCTTGCTTTCATAGTTCAGCTTTCAAACACTCTTTTTGTAGAATCTGCAAGTGGATATTTGGACCACTTTGTGGCCTTCCTTCGAAACGGGTATATCTTCACATCAAACCTAGACAGAAGCATTCTCAGAATGTTTCCTGTGATGACTGCATTCAACTCACAGAGGTGAACAATCCTGCTGATGGAGCAGTTTTGAAACTCTCTTTCTTTGGATTCTGCAAGTGGATATGTGGACCTCTGTGAAGATTTCGTTGGAAACGGGTTCATCTTCACAGAAAAACTAAACAGAAGCATTCTCAGAAACTGCTTTGTGATGTTTGCGTTCCACTTCAGGAATTGAACTTTCCTCTTGACAGAGCAGCTCTGAAACCCTCTTTTTCTAGAATCTGCAAGTGGACATTTGGAGGGCTTTGAGGCCTGTGGTGGAAAAGGAAAATCTTCACATAAAAACTAGATGGAAGCATTCTCAGAAACTACTTTGTGATGATTGCATTCGACTCACAGAGTTGAACATTCCTATAGATAGAGCAGGTTGTAAACAATCTTTTTGTAGAATCTGCGATTGGAGATTTGGACTGCTTTGAGGCCTACTGTAGTAAAGGAAATAACTTCATCTAAAAACCAAACGGAAGCATTCACAGACAATTCTTAGTGATCATTGGATTGAACAAACAGAGCTGAACATTCCTTTAGATGGCGCAGTTTCCAAACACACTTTCTGTAGAATCTGCAAGTGGATATTTGGACCTCTCTGAGGATTTCGTTGGAAACGGGATAAACTTCCCAGAACTACACGGAAGCATTGTGAGAAACTTCTTTGTGATGTTTGCATTCAACTCACAGAGTTGAACCTTGCTTTCATAGTTCAGCTTTCAAACACTCTTTTTGTAGAATCTGCAAGTGGATATTTGGACCACTTTGTGGCCTTCCTTCGAAACAGGTATATCTTCACATCAAACCTAGACAGAAGCATTCTCAGAATGTTTCCTGTGATGACTGCATTCAACTCCCAGAGGTGAACAATCCTGCTGATGGAGCAGTTTTGAAACTCTCTTTCTTTGGATTCTGCAAGTGGATATGTGGACCTCTGCGAAGATTTTCTTTGGAAACGGGTTCATCTTCACAGAAAAACTAAACAGAAGCATTCCCAGAAACTGCTTTGTGATGTTTCTGTTCCACTTCAAGAATTGAACTTTCCTCTTGACAGAGCAGCTCTGAAACCCTCTTTTTCTAGAATCTGCAAGTGGACATTTGGAGGGCTTTGAGGCCTGTGGTGGAAAAGGAAAATCTTCACATAAAAACTAGATGGAAGCATTCTCAGAAACTACTCTGTGATGATTGCATTCGACTCACAGAGTTGAACATTCGTATAGATAGAGCAGGTTGTAAACAATCTTTGTGTAGAATCTGCGATTGGAGATTTGGACTGCTTTGAGGCCTACTGTAGTAAAGGAAATAACTTCATCTAAAAACCAAACGGAAGCATTCACAGACAATTCTTAGTGATCATTGCATTGAACTAACAGAGCTGAACATTCCTTTAGATGGAGCAGTTTCCAAACACACTTTCTGTAGAATCTGCAAGTGGATATTTGGACCTCTGTGAGGATTTCGTTGGAAACGGGCTAAACTTCCCAGAACTACACGGAAGCATTCTGAGAAACTTCTTTGTGATGTTTGCATTCAACTCACAGAGTTGAACCTTGCTTTCATAGTTCAGCTTTCAAACACTCTTTTTGTAGAATCTGCAAGTGGATATTTGGACCACTTTGTGGCCTTCCTTCGAAACGGGTATATCTTCACATCATACCTAGACAGAAGCATTCTCAGAATGTTTCCTGTGATGACTGCATTCAACTCACAGAGGTGAACAATCCTGTTGATGGAGCAGTTTTGAATCTCTCTTTCTTTGGATTCTGCAAGTGGATATGTGGACCTCTGTGAAGATTTCGTTGGAAACGGGTTCATTTTCACAGAAAAACTAAACAGAAGCATTCTCAGAAACTGCTTTGTGATGTTTTTGTTCCACTTCAGGAATTGAACTTTCTTCTTGACAGAGCAGCTCTGAAGCCCTCTTATTCTAGAATCTGCAAGTGGACATTTGGAGGGCTTTGAGGCCTGTGGTTGAAAAGGATAATCTTCACATAAAAACTAGATGGAAGCATTCTCAGAAACTACTTTGTGATGATTGCATTCGACTCACAGAGTTGAACATTCCTATAGATAGAGCAGGTTGTAAACAATCTTTTTGTAGAATCTGCGATTGGAGATTTGGACTGCTTTGAGGCCTACTGTAGTAAAGGAAATAACTTCATCTAAAAACCAAACGGAAGCATTCACAGAAAATTCTTAGTGATCATTGGATTGAACTAACAGAGCTGAACATTCCTTTAGATGGAGCAGTTTCCAAACCCACTTTCTGTAGAATATTCAAGTGGATATTTGGACTTCTCTGAGGATTTCGTTGGAAACGGGATAAACTTCCCAGAACTACACGGAAGCATTCTGAGAAACTTCTTTGTGATGTTTGCATTCAACTCACAGAGTTGAACCTTGCTTTCATAGTTCAGCTTTCAAACACTCTTTTTGTAGAATCTACAGAAAGTGGATATTTGGACCACTTTGTGGCCTTCCTTCGAAACGGGTATATCTTCACATCAAACCTAGACAGAAGCATTCTCAGAATGTTTCCTGTGATGACTGCATTCAACTCACAGAGGTGAACAATCCTGCTGATGGAGCAGTTTTGAAACTCTCTTTCTTTGGATTCTGCAAGTGGATATGTGGACCTCTTTGAAGATTTCGTTGGAAACGGGTTCATCTTCACAGAAAAACTAAACAGGAGCATTCTCAGAAACTGCTTTGTGATGTTTGTGTTCCACTTCAAGAATTGAACTTTCCTCTTGACAGAGCAGCTCTGAAACCCTCTTATTCTAGAATCTGCAAGTGGACATTTGGAGGGCTTTGAGGCCTGTGGTGGAAAAGGAAAATCTTCACATAAAAACTAGATGGAAGCATTCTCAGAAACTCCTTTGTGATGATTGCATTCGACTCACAGAGTTGAACATTCCTATAGATAGAGCAGGTTGTAAACAATCTTTTTGTAGAATCTGCGATTGGAGATTTGGACTGCTTTGAGGCCTACTGTAGTAAAGGAAATAACTTCATCTAAAAACCAAACGGAAGCATTCACAGACAATTCTTCGTGATCATTGGATTGAACTAACAGAGCTGAACGTTCCCTTAGATGGCGCAGTTTCCAAACACACTTTCTGTAGCATCTGCAAGTGGATATTTGGACCTTTCTGAGGATATCGTTGGAAACGGGCTAAACTTCCCAGAACTACACGGAAGCATTCTGAGAAACTTCTTTGTCATGTTTGCATTCAACTCACAGAGTTGAACCTTGCTTTCATAGTTCAGCTTTCAAACACTCTTTTTGTAGAATCTGCAAGTGGATATTTGGACCACTTTGTGGCCTTCCTTCGAAACGGGTATATCTTCACATCAAACCTAGACAGAAGCATTCTCAGAATGTTTCCTGTGATGACTGCATTCAACTCACAGAGGTGAACAATCCTGCTGATGGAGCAGTTTTGAAACTCTCTTTCTTTGGATTCTGCAAGTGGATATGTGGACCTCTGTGAAGATTTCGTTGGAAACGGGTTCATCGTCACAGAAAAACTAAACAGAAGCATTCTCAGAAACTACTTTGTGATGTTTGTGTTCCACTTCAAGAATTGAACTTTCCTCTTGACAGAGCAGCTCTGAAACCCTCTTTTTCTAGAATCTGCAAGTGGACATTTGGAGGGCTTTGAGGCCTGTGGTGGAAAAGGAAAATCTTCACATAAAAACTAGATGGAAGCATTCTCAGAAACTACTTTGTGATGATGGCTTTCGACTCACAGAGTTGAACATTCCTATAGATAGAGCAGGTTGTAAACAATCTTTTTGTAGAATCTGCGATTGGAGATTTGGACTGCTTTGAGGCCTACTGTAGTAAAGGAAATAACTTCATCTAAAAACCAAACGGAAGCATTCACAGACAATTCTTAGTGATCATTGGATTGAACTAACAGAGCTGAACATTCCTTTAGATGGAGCAGTTTCCAAACCCACTTTCTGTAGAATCTGCAAGTGGATATTTGGACTTCTCTGAGGATTTTGTTGGAAACGGGATAAACTTCCCAGAACTACAGGGAAGCATTGTGAGAAACTTCTTTGTGATGTTTGCATTCAACTCACAGAGTTGAACCTTGCTTTCATAGTTCAGCTTTCAAACACTCTTTTTGTAGAATCTGCAAGTGGATATTTGGACCACTTTGTGGCCTTCCTTCGAAACGGGTATATCTTCACATCAAACCTAGACAGAAGCATTCTCAGAATGTTTCCTTTGATGACTGCATTCAACTCACAGAGGTGAACAATCCTGCTGATGGAGCAGTTTTGAAACTCTCTTTCTTTGGATTCTGCAAGTGGATATGTGGACCTCTGTGAAGATTTCGTTGGAAACGGGTTCATCTTCACAGAAAAACTAAACAGGAGCATTCTCAGAAACTGCTTTGTGATGTTTGTGTTCCACTTCAAGAATTGAACTTTCCTCTTGACAGAGCAGCTCTGAAACCCTCTTTTTCTAGAATCTGCAAGTGGACATTTGGAGGGCTTTGAGGCCTGTGGTGGAAAAGGAAAATCTTCACATAAAAACTAGATGGAAGCATTCTCAGAAACTACTTTGGGATGATTGCATTCGACTCACAGAGTTGAACATTCCCATAGATAGAGCAGGTTGTAAACAATCTTTTTGTAGAATCTGCGATTGGAGATTTGGACTGCTTTGAGGCCTACTCTAGTAAAGGAAATAACTTCATCTAAAAACCAAACGGAAGCATTCACAGACAATTCTTAGTGATCATTGCATTGAACTAACAGAGCTGAACATTCCTTTAGATGGCGCAGTTTCCAAACACACTTTCTGTAGAATCTGCAAGTGGATATTTGGACCTCTCTGAGGATTTCGTTGGAAACGGGATAAAATTCCCAGAACTACACGGGAAGCATTCTGAGAAACTTCTTTGGATGTTTGCATTCAACTCACAGAGTTGAACCTTGCTTTCATAGTTCAGCTTTCAAACACTCTTTTTGTAGAATCTGCAAGTGGATATTTGGACCACTTTGTGGCCTTCCTTCGAAACGGGTATATCTTCACAGCAAACCTAGACAGAAGCATTCTCAGAATGTTTCCTGTGATGACTGCATTCAACTCATAGAGGTGAACAATCCTGTTGATGGAGAAGTTTTGAAACTCTTTTTCTTTGGATTCTGCAAGTGGATATGTGGACCTCTGTGAAGATTTCGTTGGAAACGGGTTCATCTTCACAGGAAAACTAAACAGGAGCATTCTCAGAAACTGCTTTGTGATGTTTGTGTTCCACTTCAAGAATTGAACTTTCCTCTTGACAGAGCAGCTCTGAAACCCTCTTTTTCTAGAATCTGCAAGTGGACATTTGGAGGGCTTTGATGCCTGTGGTGGAAAAGGAAAATCTTCACATAAAAACTAGATGGAAGCATTCTCAGAAACTACTTTGTGATGATTGCATTCGACTCACAGAGTTGAACATTTCCTATAGATAGAGCAGGTTGTAAACAATCTTTTTGTAGAATCTGCGATTGGAGATTTGGACTGCTTTGAGGCCTACTGTAGTAAAGGAAATAACTTCATCTAAAAACCAAACGGAAGCATTCACAGACAATTCTTAGTGATCATTGCATTGAACTAACAGAGCTGAACATTGCTTTAGATGGCGCAGTTTCCAAACCCACTTTCTGTAGAATCTGCAAGTGGATATTTGGACCTCTCTGAGGATTTCGTTGGAAACGGGATAAACTTCCCAGAACTACACGGAAGCATGCTGAGAAACTTCTTTGTGATGTTTGCATTCAACTCACAGAGTTGAACCTTGCTTTCATAGTTCAGCTTTCAAACACTCTTTTTGTAGAATCTGCAAGTGGATATTTGGACCACTTTGTGGCCTTCCTTCGAAACGGGTATATCTTCACATCAAACCTAGACAGAAGCATTCTCAGAATGTTTCCTGTGATGACTGCATTCAACTCACAGAGGTGAACAATCCTGCTGATGGAGCAGTTTTGAAACTCTCTTTCTTTGGATTCTGCAAGTGGATATGTGGACCTCTGTGAAGATTTCGTTGGAAACGGGTTCATCTTCACAGAAAAACTAAACAGAAGCATTCTCGGAAACTGCTTTGTGATGTTTGTGTTCCACTTCAGGAATTGAACTTCCTCTTGACAGAGCAGCTCTGCAACCCTCTTATTCTAGAATCTGCAAGTGGACATTTGGAGGGCTTTGAGGCCTGTGGTGGAAAAGGAAAATCTTCACATAAAAACTAGATGGAAGCATTCTCAGAAACTACTTTGTGATGATTGCATTCGACTCACAGAGTTGAACATTCCTATAGATAGAGCAGGTTGTAAACAATCTTTTTGTAGAATCTGCGATTGGAGATTTGGACTGCTTTGAGGCCTACTGTAGTAAAGGAAATAACTTCATCTAAAAACCAAACGGAAGGATTCGCAGACAATTCTTCGTGATCATTGGATTGAACTAACAGAGCTGAACATTCCTTTAGATGGAGCAGTTTCCAGACCCACTTTCTGTAGAATCTGCAAGTGGATATTTGGACTTCTCTGAGGATTTCGTTGGAAACGGGATATGCTTCCCAGAACTACAGGGAAGCATTCTGAGAAACTTCTTTGTGATGTTTGCATTCAACTCACAGAGTTGAACCTTGCTTTCATAGTTCAGCTTTCAAACACTCTTTTTGTAGAATCTGCAAGAGGATATTTGGACCACTTTGTGGCCTTCCTTCGAAACGGGTATATCTTCACATCAAACCTAGACAGAAGCATTCTCAGAATGTTTCCTGTGATGACTGCATTCAACTCACAGAGGTGAACAATCCTGTTGATGGAGCAGTTTTGAAACTCTCTTTCTTTGGATTCTGCAAGTTGATATGTGGACCTCTGTGAAGATTTCGTTGGAAACGGGTTCATCTTCACAGAAAAACTAAACAGAAGCATTCTCAGAAACTGCTTTGTGATGTTTGTGTTCCACTTCAAGAATTGAACTTTCCTCTTGACAGAGCAGCTCTGAAACCCTCTTTTTCTAGAATCTGCAAGTGGACATTTGGAGGGCTTTGAGGCCTGTGGTGGAAAAGGAAAATCTTCACATAAAAACTAGATGGAAGCATTCTCAGAAACTACTTTGTGATGATTGCATTCGACTCACAGAGTTGAACATTCCTATAGATAGAGCAGGTTGTAAACAATGTTTTTGTAGAATCTGCGATTGGAGATTTGGACTGCTTTGAGGCCTACTGTAGTAAAGGAAATAACTTCATCTAAAAACCAAACGGAAGCATTCACAGACAATTCTTAGTGATCATTGCATTGAATTAACAGAGCTGAACATTCCTTTAGATGGAGCAGTTTCCAAACACACTTTCTGTAGAATCTGCAAGTGGATATTTGGACTTCTCTGAGGATTTCGTTGGAAACGGGATAAACTTCCCAGAACTACAGGGAAGCATTGTGAGAAACTTCTTTGTGATGTTTGCATTCAACTCACAGAGTTGAACCTTGCTTTCATAGTTCAGCTTTCAAACACTCTTTTTGTAGAATCTGCAAGTGGATATTTGGACCACTTTGTGGCCTTCCTTCGAAACGGGTATATCTTCACATCAAACCTAGACAGAAGCATTCTCAGAATGTTTCCTGTGATGACTGCATTCAACTCACAGAGGTGAACAATCCTGCTGATGGAGCAGTTTTGAAACTCTCTTTCTTTGGATTCTGCAAGTGGATATGTGGACCTCTGTGAAGATTTCGTTGGAAACGGGTTCATCTTCACAGAAAAACTAAACAGAAACATTCTCAGAAACTGCTTTGTGATGTTTGTGTTCCACTTCAGGAATTGAACTTTCCTCTTGACAGAGCAGCTCTGAAACCCTCTTATTCTAGAATCTGCAAGTGGACATTTGGAGGGCTTTGAGGCCTGTGGTGGAAAAGGAAAATCTTCACATAAAAACTAGATGGAAGCATTCTCAGAAACTACTTTGTGATGATTGCATTCGACTCACAGAGTTGAACATTCCTATAGATAGAGCAGGTTGTAAACAATCTTTTTGTAGAATCTGCGATTGGAGATTTGGACTGCTTTGAGGCCTACTGTAGTAAAGGAAATAACTTCATCTAAAAACCAAACGGAAGCATTCACAGACAATTCTTAGTGATCATTGCATTGAACTAACAGAGCTGAACATTCCTTTAGATGGAGCAGTTTCCAAACACACTTTCTGTAGAATCTGCAAGTGGATATTTGGACTTCTCTGAGGATTTCGTTGGAAACGGGATAAACTTCCCAGAACTACACGGAAGCATTGTGAGAAACTTCTTTGTGATGTTTGCATTCAACTCACAGAGTTGAACCTTGCTTTCATAGTTCAGCTTTCAAACACTCTTTTTGTAGAATCTGCAAGTGGATATTTGGACCACTTTGTGGCCTTCCTTCGAAACGGGTATATCTTCACATCAAACCTAGACAGAAGCATTCTCAGAATGTTTCCTGTGATGACTGCATTCAACTCACAGAGGTGAACAATCCTGCTGATGGAGCAGTTTTGAAACTCCCTTTCTTTGGATTCTGCAAGTGGATATGTGGACCTCTGTGAAGATTTCGTTGGAAACGGGTTCATCTTCACAGAAAAACTAAACAGAAGCATTCTCAGAAACTGCTTTGTGATGTTTGTGTTCCACTTCAAGAATTGAACTTTCCTCTTGACAGAGCAGCTCTGAAACCCTCTTATTCTAGAATCTGCAAGTGGACATTTGGAGGGCTTTGAGGCCTGTGGTGGAAAAGGAAAATCTTCACATAAAAACTAGATGGAAGCATTCTCAGAAACTACTTTGTGATGATTGCATTCGACTCACAGAGTTGAACATTCCTATACATAGAGCAGGTTGTAAACAATCTTTTTGTAGAATCTGCGATTGGAGATTTGGACTGCTTTGAGGCCTACTGTAGTAAAGGAAATAACTTCATCTAAAAACCAAACGGAAGCATTCACAGACAATTCTTAGTGATCATTGGATTGAACTAACAGAGCTGAACATTCCTTTAGATGGAGCAGTTTCCAAACACACTTTCTGTAGAATCTGCAAGTGGATATTTGGACTTCTCTGAGGATTTCGTTGGAAACGGGATAAACTTCCCAGAACTACACGGAAGCATTGTGAGAAACTTCTTTGTGATGTTTGCATTCAACTCACAGAGTTGAACCTTGCTTTCATAGTTCAGCTTTCAAACACTCTTTTTGTAGAATCTGCAAGTGGATATTTGGACCACTTTGTGGCCTTCCTTCGAAACGGGTATATCTTCACATCAAACCTAGACAGAAGCATTCTCAGAATGTATCCTGTGATGACTGCATTCAACTCACAGAGGTGAACAATCCTGCTGATGGAGCAGTTTTGAAACTCTCTTTCTTTGGATTCTGCAAGTGGATATGTGGACCTCTGTGAAGATTTCGTTGGAAACGGGTTCATCTTAACAGAAAAACTAAACAGAAGCATTCTCAGAAACTGCTTTGTGATGTTTGTGTTCCACTTCAAGAATTGAACTTTCCTCTTGACAGAGCAGCTCTGAAACCCTCTTTTTCTAGAATCTGCAAGTGGACATTTGGAGGGCTTTGAGGCCTGTGGTGGAAAAGGAAAATCTTCCCATAAAAACTAGATGGAAGCATTCTCAGAAACTACTTTGTGATGATTGCATTCGACTCACAGAGTTGAACATTCCTATACATAGAGCAGGTTGTAAACAATCTTTTTGTAGAATCTGCGATTGGAGATTTGGACTGCTTTGAGGCCTACTGTAGTAAAGGAAATAACTTCATCTAAAAACCAAACGGAAGCATTCACAGACAATTCTTAGTGATCATTGGATTGAACTAACAGAGCTGAACATTCCTTTAGATGGAGCAGTTTCCAAACACACTTTCTGTAGAATCTGCAAGTGGATATTTGGACCTCTCTGAGGATTTCGTTGGAAACGGGATAAACTTCCCAGAACTACACGGAAGCATTCTGAGAAACTTCTTTGTGATGTTTGCATTCAACTCACAGAGTTGAACCTTGCTTTCATAGTTCAGCTTTCAAACACTCTTTTTGTAGAATCTGCAAGTGGATATTTGGACCACTTTGTGGCCTTCCTTCGAAACGGGTATATCTTCACATCAAACCTAGACAGAAGCATTCTCAGAATGTTTCCTGTGATGACTGCATTCAACTCACAGAGGTGAACAATCCTGCTGATGGAGCAGTTTTGAAACTCTCTTTCTTTGGATTCTGCAAGTGGATATGTGGACCTCTGTGAAGATTTCGTTGGAAACGGGTTCATCTTCACAGAAAAACTAAACAGGAGCATTCTCAGAAACTACTTTGTGATGTTTGTGTTCCACTTCAAGAATTGAACTTTCCTCTTGACAGAGCAGCTCTGAAACCCTCTTTTTCTAGAATCTGCAAGTGGACATTTGGAGGGCTTTGAGGCCTGTGGTGGAAAAGGAAAATCTTCACATAAAAACTAGATGGAAGCATTCTCAGAAAGTACTTTGTGATGATTGCATTCGACTCACAGAGTTGAACATTCCTATAGGTAGAGCAGGTTGTAAACAATCTTTTTGTAGAATCTGCGATTGGAGATTTGGACTGCTTTGAGGCCTACTGTAGTAAAGGAAATAACTTCATCTAAAAACCAAACGGAAGCATTCACAGACAATTCTTAGTGATCATTGCATTGAACTAACAGAGCTGAACATTGCTTTAGATGGCGCAGTTTCCAAACCCACTTTCTGTAGAATCTGCAAGTGGATATTTGGACCTCTCTGTGGATTTCGTTGGAAACGGGATAAACTTCCCAGAACTACACGGAAGCATTGTGAGAAACTTCTTTGTGATGTTTGCATTCAACTCACAGAGTTGAACCTTGCTTTCATAGTTCAGCTTTCAAACACTCTTTTTGTAGAATCTGCAAGTGGATATTTGGACCACTTTGTGGCCTTCCTTCGAAACGGGTATATCTTCACATCAAACCTAGACAGAAGCATTCTCAGAATGTTTCCTGTGATGACTGCATTCAACTCACAGAGGTGAACAATCCTGCTGATGGAGCAGTTTTGAAACTCTCTTTCTTTGGATTCTGCAAGTGGATATGTGGACCTCTGTGAAGATTTCGTTGGAAACGGGTTCATCTTCACAGAAAAACTAAACAGGAGCATTCTCAGAAACTGCTTTGTGATGTTTGTGTTCCACTTCAAGAATTGAACTTTCCTCTCGACAGAGCAGCTCTGAAACCCTCTTTTTCTAGAATCTGCAAGTGGACATTTGGAGGGCTTTGAGGCCTGTGGTGGAAAAGGAAAATCTTCACATAAAAACTAGATGGAAGCATTCTCAGAAACTACTTTGTTATGATTGCATTCGACTCACAGAGTTGAACATTCCTATAGATAGAGCAGGTTGTAAACAATCTTTTTGTAGAATCTGCGATTGGAGATTTGGACTGCTTTGAGGCCTACTGTAGTAAAGGAAATAACTTCATCTAAAAACCAAACGGAAGCATTCACAGACAATTCTTAG
The DNA here is from genome assembly GCF_000001405.40 of Homo sapiens. NCBI lineage: Eukaryota > Metazoa > Chordata > Mammalia > Primates > Hominidae > Homo > Homo sapiens. The sequence goes on from NC_000011.10 coordinate 52,356,704, forward strand.
TGATCATTGCATTGAACTAACAGAGCTGAACATTCCTTTAGATGGCGCAGTTTCCAAACACACTTTCTGTAGAATCTGCAAGTGGATATTTGGACCTCTCTGAGGATTTCGTTGGAAACGGGATAAACTTCCCAGAACTACACGGAAGCATTCTGAGAAACTTCTTTGTGATGTTTGCATTCAACTCACAGAGTTGAACCTTGCTTTCATAGTTCAGCTTTCAAACACTCTTTTTGTAGAATCTGCAAGTGGATATTTGGACCACTTTGTGGCCTTCCTTCGAAACGGGTATATCTTCACATCAAACCTAGACAGAAGAATTCTCAGAATGTTTCCTGTGATGACTGCATTCAACTCACAGAGGTGAACAATCCTGTTGATGGAGCAGTTTTGAAACTCTCTTTCTTTGGATTCTGCAAGTTGATATGTGGACCTCTGTGAAGATTTCGTTGGAAACGGGTTCATCTTCACAGAAAAACTAAACAGAAGCATTCTCAGAAACTGCTTTGTGATGTTTGTGTTCCACTTCAAGAATTGAACTTTCCTCTTGACAGAGCAGCTCTGAAACCCTCTTTTTCTAGAATCTGCAAGTGGACATTTGGAGGACTTTGAGGCCTGTGGTGGAAAAGGAAAATCTTCACATAAAAACTAGATGGAAGCATTCTCAGAAACTACTTTGTGATGATTGCATTCGACTCACAGAGTTGAACATTCCTATAGATAGAGCAGGTTGTAAACAATCTTTTTGTAGAATCTGCGATTGGAGATTTGGACTGCTTTGAGGCCTACTGTAGTAAAGGAAATAACTTCATCTAAAAACCAAACGGAAGCATTCACAGACAATTCTTAGTGATCATTGCATTGAACTAACAGAGCTGAACATTCCTTTAGATGGAGCAGTTTCCAAACCCACTTTCTGTAGAATCTGCAAGTGGATATTTGGACTTCTCTGAGGATTTCGTTGGAAACGGGATATACTTCCCAGAACTACACGGAAGCATTGTGAGAAACTTCTTTGTGATGTTTGCATTCAACTCACAGAGTTGAACCTTGCTTTCATAGTTCAGCTTTCAATCACTCTTTTTGTAGAATCTGCAAGTGGATATTTGGACCATTTTGTGGCCTTCCTTCGAAACGGGTATATCTTCACATCAAACCTAGACAGAAGCATTCTCAGAATGTTTCCTGTGATGACTGCATTCAACTCACAGAGGTGAACAATCCTGCTGATGGAGCAGTTTTGAAACTCTCTTTCTTTGGATTCTACAAGTGGATATGTGGACCTCTGTGAAGATTTCGTTGGAAACGGGTTCATCTTCACAGAAAAACTAAACAGGAGCATTCTCAGAAACTGCTTTGTGATGTTTGTGTTCCACTTCAAGAATTGAACTTTCCTCTTGACAGAGCAGCTCTGAAACCCTCTTTTTCTAGAATCTGCAAGTGGACATTTGGAGGGCTTTGAGGCCTGTGGTGCAAAAGGAAAATCTTCACATAAAAACTAGATGGAAGCATTCTCAGAAACTACTTTGTGATGATTGCATTCGACTCACAGAGTTGAACATTCCTATAGATAGAGCAGGTTGTAAACAATCTTTTTGTAGAATCTGCGATTGGAGATTTGGACTGCTTTGAGGCCTACTGTAGTAAAGGAAATAACTTCATCTAAAAACCAAACGGAAGCATTCACAGACAATTCTTAGTGATCATTGCATTGAACTAACAGAGCTGAACATTCCTTTAGATGGAGCATTTTCCAAACCCACTTTCTGTAGAATCTGCAAGTGGATATTTGGACTTCTCTGAGGATTTCGTTGGAAACGGGATAAACTTCCCAGAACTACACGGAAGAATTGTGAGAAATATCTTTGTGATGTTTGCATTCAACTCACAGTGTTGAACCTTGCTTTCATAGTTCAGCTTTCAAACACTCTTTTTATAGAATCTGCAAGTGGATATTTGGACCACATTTGGCCTTCCTTCCAAACGGGTATATCTTCACATCAAACCTAGACAGAAGCATTCTCAGAATGTTTCCTGTGATGACTGCATTCAACTCACAGAGGTGAACAATCCTGCTGATGGAGCAGTTTTGAAACTCTCTTTCTTTGGATTCTGCAAGTGGATATGTGGACCTCTGTGAAGATTTCGTTGGAAACGGGTTCATCTTCACAGAAAAACTAAACAGAAGCATTCTCAGAAACTGCTTTGTGATGTTTGTGTTCCACTTCAGGAATTGAAATTTCCTCTTCACAGAGCAGCTCTGAAACCCTCTTATTCTAGAATCTGCAAGTGGACATTTGGAGGGCTTTGAGGCCTGTGGTGGAAAAGGAAAATCTTCACATAAAAACTAGATGGAAGCATTCTCAGAAACTACTTTGTGATGATTGCATTCGACTCACAGAGTTGAACATTCCTATACATAGAGCAGGTTGTAAACAATCTTTTTGTAGAATCTGCGATTGGAGATTTGGACTGCTTTGAGGCCTACTGTAGTAAAGGAAATAACTTCATCTAAAAACCAAACGGAAGCATTCACAGACAATTCTTAGTGATCATTGGATTGAACTAACAGAGCTGAACATTCCTTTAGATGGAGCAGTTTCCAAACACACTTTCTGTAGAATCTGCAAGTGGATATTTGGACCTCTCTGAGGATTTCGTTGGAAACGGGATAAACTTCCCAGAACTACACGGAAGCATTCTGAGAAACTTCTTTGTGATGTTTGCATTCAACTCACAGAGTTGAACCTTGCTTTCATAGTTCAGCTTTCAAACACTCTTTTTGTAGAATCTGCAAGTGGATATTTGGACCACTTTGTGGCCTTCCTTCGAAACGGGTATATCTTCACATCAAACCTAGACAGAAGCATTCTCAGAATGTTTCCTGTGATGACTGCATTCAACTCACAGAGGTGAACAATCCTGCTGATGGAGCAGTTTTGAAATTCTCTTTCTTTGGATTCTGCAAGTGGATATGTGGACCTCTGTGAAGATTTCGTTGGAAACGGGTTCATCTTCACAGAAAAACTAAACAGAAGCATTCTCAGAAACTGCTTTGTGATGTTTGTGTTCCACTTCAGGAATTGAACTTTCCTCTTGACAGAGCAGCTCTGAAACCCTCTTTTTCTAGAATCTGCAAGTGGACATTTGGAGGGCTTTGAGGCCTGTGGTGGAAAAGGAAAATCTTCACATAAAAACTAGATGGAAGCATTCTCAGAAACTACTTTGTGATGTTTGCATTCGACTCACAGAGTTGAACATTCCTATAGATAGAGCAGGTTGAAAACAATCTTTTTGTAGAATCTGCGATTGGAGATTTGGACTGCTTTGAGGCCTACTGTAGTAAAGGAAATAACTTCATCTAAAAACCAAACGGAAGCATTCACAGACAATTCTTAGTGATCATTGGATTGAACTAACAGAGCTGAACATTCCTTTAGATGGAGCAGTTTCCAAACACACTGTCTGTAGAATCTGCAAGTGGATATTTGGACCTCTCTGAGGATTTCGTTGGAAACGGGATAAACTTCCCAGAACTACACGGAAGCATTCTGAGAAACTTCTTTGTGATATTTGCATTCAACTCACAGAGTTAAACCTTGCTTTCATAGTTCAGCTTTCAAACACTCTTTTTGTAGAATCTGCAAGTGGATATTTGGACCACTTTGTGGCCTTCCTTCAAAACGGGTATATCTTCACATCAAACCTAGACAGAAGCATTCTCAGAATGTTTTCTGTGATGACTGCATTCAACTCACAGAGGTGAACAATCCTGCTGATGGAGCAGTTTTGAAACTCTCTTTCTTTGGATTCTGCAAGTGGATATGTGGACCTCTGTAAAGATTTCGTTGGAAACGGGTTCATCTTCACAGAAAAACTAAACAGAAGCATTCTCAGAAACTGCTTTGTGATGTTTGTGTTCCTCTTCAAGAATTGAACTTTCCTCTTGACAGAGCAGCTCTGAAACCCTCTTTTTCTAGAATCTGCAAGTGGACATTTGGAGGGCTTTGAGGCCTGTGGTGGAAAAGGAAAATCTTCACATAAAAACTAGATGGAAGCATTCTCAGAAACTACTTTGTGATGATTGCATTCGACTCACAGAGTTGAACATTCCTATACATAGAGCAGGTTGTAAACAATCTTTTTGTAGAATCTGCGATTGGAGATTTGGACTGCTTTGAGGCCTACTGTAGTAAAGGAAATAACTTCATCTAAAAACCAAACGGAAGCATTCACAGACAATTCTTAGTGATCATTGGATTGAACTAACAGAGCTGAACATTCCTTTAGATGGAGCAGTTTCCAAACACACTTTCTGTAGAATCTGCAAGTGGATATTTGGACTTCTCTGAGGATTTCGTTGGAAACGGGATAAACTTCCCAGAACTACACGGAAGCATTCTGAGAAACTTCTTTGTGATGTTTGCATTCAACTCACAGAGTTGAACCTTGCTTTCATAGTTCAGCTTTCAAACACTCTTTTTGTAGAATCTGCAAGTGGATATTTGGACCACTTTGTGGCCTTCCTTCGAAACGGGTATATCTTCACATCAAACATAGACAGAAGCATTCTCAGAATGTTTCCTGTGATGACTGCATTCAACTCACAGAGGTGAACAATCCTGCTGATGGAGCAGTTTTGAAACTCTCTTTCTTTGGATTCTGCAAGTGGATATGTGGACCTCTGTGAAGATTTCGTTGGAAACGGGTTCATCTTCACAGAAAAACTAAACAGAAGCATTCTCAGAAACTGCTTTGTGATGTTTGTGTTCCACTTCAGGAATTGAACTTTCCTCTTGACAGAGCAGCTCTGCAACCCTCTTATTCTAGAATCTGCAAGTGGACATTTGGAGGGCTTTGAGGCCTGTGGTGGAAAAGGAAAATCTTCACATAAAAACTAGATGGAAGCATTCTCAGAAACTACTTTGTGATGATTGCATTCGACTCACAGAGTTGAACATTCCTATAGATAGAGCAGGTTGTAAACAATCTTTTTGTAGAATCTGCGATTGGAGATTTGGACTGCTTTGAGGCCTACTGTAGTAAAGGAAATAACTTCATCTAAAAACCAAACGGAAGCATTCACAGACAATTCTTAGTGATCATTGCATTGAACTAACAGAGCTGAACATTCCTTTAGATGGCGCAGTTTCCAAACACACTTTCTGTAGAATCTGCAAGTGGATATTTGGACTTCTCTGAGGATTTCGTTGGAAACGGGATAAACTTCCCAGAACTACACGGAAGCATTGTGAGAAACTTCTTTGTGATGTTTGCATTCAACTCACAGAGTTGAACCTTGCTTTCATAGTTCAGCTTTCAAACACTCTTTTTGTGGAATCTGCAAGTGGATATTTGGACCACTTTGTGGCCTTCCTTCGAAACGGGTATATCTTCACATCAAACCTAGACAGAAGCATTCTCAGAATGTTTCCTGTGATGACTGCATTCAACTCACAGAGGTGAACAATCCTGCTGATGGAGCAGTTTTGAAACTCTCTTTCTTTGGATTCTGCAAGTGGATATGTGGACCTCTGTGAAGATTTCGTTGGAAACGGGTTCATCTTCACAGAAAAACTAAACAGAAGCATTCTCAGAAACTGCTTTGTGATGTTTGTGTTCCACTTCAAGAATTGAACTTTCCTCTTGACAGAGCAGCTCTGAAACCCTCTTATTCTAGAATCTGCAAGTGGACATTTGGAGGGCTTTGAGGCCTGTGGTGGAAAAGGAAAATCTTCACATAAAAACTAGATGGAAGCATTCTCAGAAACTTCTTTGTGATGATTGCATTCGACTCACAGAGTTGAACATTCCTATAGATAGAGCAGGTTGTAAACAATCTTTTTGTAGAATCTGCGATTGGAGATTTGGACTGCTTTGAGGCCTACTGTAGTAAAGGAAATTACTTCATCTAAAAACCAAACGGAAGCATTCACAGACAATTCTTAGTGATCATTGGATTGAACTAACAGAGCTGAACATTCCTTTAGATGGAGCAGTTTCCAAACCCACTTTCTGTAGAATCTGCAAGTGGATATTTGGACTTCTCTGAGGATTTCGTTGGAAACGGGATAAACTTCCCAGAACTACACGGAAGCATTCTGAGAAACTTCTTTGTGATGTTTGCATTCAACTCACAGAGTTGAACCTTGCTTTCATAGTTCAGCTTTCAAACACTCTTTTTGTAGAATCTGCAAGTGGATATTTGGACCACTTTGTGGCCTTCCTTCGAAACGGGTATATCTTCACATCAAACCTAGACAGAAGCATTCTCAGAATGTTTCCTGTGATGACTGCATTCAACTCACAGAGGTGAACAATCCTGTTGATGGAGCAGTTTTGAAACTCTCTTTCTTTGGATTCTGCAAGTGGATATGTGGACCTCTGTGAAGATTTCGTTGGAAACGGGTTCATCTTCACAGAAAAACTAAACAGGAGCATTCTCAGAAACTGCTTTGTGATGTTTGTGTTCCACTTCAGGAATTGAACTTTCCTCTTGAGAGAGCAGCTCTGAAACCCTCTTTTTCTAGAATCTGCAAGTGGACATTTGGAGGGCTTTGAGGCCTGTGGTGGAAAAGGAAAATCTTCACATAAAAACTAGATGGAAGCATTCTCAGAAACTACTTCGTGATGGTTGCATTCGACTCACAGAGTTGAACATTCCTATAGATAGAGCAGGTTGTAAACAATCTTTTTGTAGAATCTGCGATTGGAGATTTGGACTGCTTTGAGGCCTACTGTAGTAAAGGAAATAACTTCATCTAAAAACCAAACGGAAGCATTCACAGACAATTCTTAGTGATCATTGGATTGAACTAACAGAGCTGAACATTCCTTTAGATGGAGCAGTTTCCAAACACACTTTCTGTAGAATCTGCAAGTGGATATTTGGACTTCTCTTAGGATTTCGTTGGAAACGGGATAAACTTCCCAGAACTACAGGGAAGCATTGTGAGAAACTTCTTTGTGATGTTTGCATTCAACTCACAGAGTTGAACCTTGCTTTCATAGTTCAGCTTTCAAACACTCTTTTTGTAGAATCTGCAAGTGGATATTTGGACCACTTTGTGGCCTTCCTTTGAAACGGGTATATCTTCACATCAAACCTAGACAGAAGCATTCTCAGAATGTTTCCTGTGATGACTGCATTCAACTCACAGAGGTGAACAATCCTGTTGATGGAGCAGTTTTGTAACTCTCTTTCTTTGGATTCTGCAAGTTGATATGTGGACCTCTGTGAAGATTTCGTTGGAAACTGGTTCATCTTCACAGAAAAACTAAACAGAAGCATTCTCAGAAACTGCTTTGTGATGTTTGTGTTCCACTTCAGGAATTGAACATTCCTCTTGATAGAGCAGCTCTGAAACCCTCTTTCTCTAGAATCTGCAAGTGGACATTTGGAGGGCTTTGAGGCCTGTGGTGGAAAAGGAAAATCTTCACATAAAAACTAGATGGAAGCATTCTCAGAAACTACTTTGTGATGATTGCATTCGACTCACAGAGTTGAACATTCCTATAGATAGAGCAGGTTGTAAACAATCTTTTTGTAGAATCTGCGATTGGAGATTTGGACTGCTTTGAGGCCTACTGTAGTAAAGGAAATAACTTCATCTAAAAACCAAACGGAAGCATTCACAGACAATTCTTAGTGATCATTGCATTGAACTAACAGAGCTGAACTTTCCTTTAGATGGCGCAGTTTCCAAACACACTTTCTGTAGAATCTGCAAGTGGATATTTGGACCTCTCTGAGGAATTCGTTGGAAACGGGATATACTTCCCAGAACTACACGGAAGCATGCTGAGAAACTTCTTTGTGATGTTTGCATTCAACTCACAGAGTTGAACCTTGCTTTCATAGTTCAGCTTTCAAACACTCTTTTTGTAGAATCTGCAAGTGGATATTTGGACCACTTTGTGGCCTTCCTTCGAAACGGGTATATCTTCACTTCAAACCTAGACAGAAGCATTCTCAGAATGTTTCCTGTGATGACTGCATTCAACTCACAGAGGTGAACAATCCTGCTGATGGAGCAGTGTTGAAACTCTCTTTCTTTGGATTCTGCAAGTGGATATGTGGACCTCTGTGAAGATTTCGTTGGAAACGGGTTCATCTTCACAGAAAAACTAAACAGGAGCATTCTCAGAAACTACTTTGTGATGTTTGTGTTCCACTTCAAGAATTGAACTTTCCTCTTGACAGAGCAGCTCTGAAACCCTCTTTTTCTAGAATCTGCAAGTGGACATTTGGAGGGCTTTGAGGCCTGTGGTGGAAAAGGAAAATCTTCACATAAAAACTAGATGGAAGCATTCTCAGAAACTACTTTGTGATGATTGCATTCGGCTCACAGAGTTGAACATTCCTATAGATAGAGCAGGTTGTAAACAATCTTTTTGTAGAATCTGCGATTGGAGATTTGGACTGCTTTGAGGCCTACTGTAGTAAAGGAAATAACTTCATCTAAAAACCAAACGGAAGCATTCACAGACAATTCTTACTGATCATTGCATTGAACTAACAGAGCTGAACATTCCTGTAGATGGCGCAGTTTCCAAACACACTTTCTGGAGAATCTGCAAGTGGATATTTGGACCTCTCTGAGGATTTCGTTGGAAACGGGATAAACTTCCCAGAACTACACGGAAGCATTCTGAGAAACTTCTTTGTGATGTTTCCATTCAACTCACAGAGTTGAACCTTGCTTTCATAGTCCAGCTTTCAAACACTCTTTTTGTAGAATCTGCAAGTGGATATTTGGACCACTTTGTGGCCTTCCTTCGAAAGGGGTATATCTTCACATCAAACCTAGACAGAAGCATTCTCAGAATGTTTCCTGTGATGACTGCATTCAACTCACAGAGGTGAACAATCCTGCTGATGGAGCAGTTTTGAAACTCTCCTTCTTTGGATTCTGCAAGTGGATATGTGGACCTCTGTGAAGATTTCGTTGGAAACGGGTTCATCTTCACAGAAAAACTAAACAGAAGCATTCTCAGAAACTGCTTTGTGATGTTTGTGTTCCACTTCAGGAATTGAACTTTCCTCTTGACAGAGCAGCTCTGAAACCCTCTTATTCTAGAATCTGCAAGTGGACATTTGGAGGGCTTTGAGGCCTGTGGTGGAAAAGGAAAATCTTCACATAAAAACTAGATGGAAGCATTCTCAGAAACTACTTTGTGATGATTGCATTCGACTCACAGAGTTGAACATTCCTATAGATAGAGCAGGTTGTAAACAATCTTTTTGTAGAATCTGCGATTGGAGATTTGGACTGCTTTGAGGCCTACTGTAGTAAAGGAAATAACTTCATCTAAAAACCAAACGGAAGCATTCACAGACAATTCTTAGTGATCATTGGATTGAACTAACAGAGCTGAACATTCCTTTAGATGGAGCAGTTTCCAAACACACTTTCTGTAGAATCTGCAAGTGGATATTTGGACCTCTCTGAGGATTTCGTTGGAAACGGGATAAACTTCCCAGAACTACACGGAAGCATTCTGAGAAACTTCTTTGTGATGTTTGCATTCAACTCACAGAGTTGAACCTTGCTTTCATAGTTCAGCTTTCAAACACTCTTTTTGTAGAATCTGCAAGTGGATATTTGGACCACTTTGTGGCCTTCCTTCGAAACGGGTATATCTTCACATCAAACCTAGACAGAAGCATTCTCAGAATGTTTCCTGTGATGACTGCATTCAACTCACAGAGGTGAACAATCCTGCTGATGGAGCACTTTTGAAACTCTCTTTCTTTGGATTCTGCAAGTGGATATGTGGACCTCTGTGAAGATTTCGTTGGAAACGGGTTCATCTTCACAGAAAAACTAAACAGAAGCATTCTCAGAAACTGCTTTGTGATGTTTGTGTTCCACATCAAGAATTGAACTTTCCTCTTGACAGAGCAGCTCTGAAACCCTCTTTTTCTAGAATCTGCAAGTGGACATTTGGAGGGCTTTGAGGCCTGTGGTGCAAAAGGAAAATCTTCACATAAAAACTAGATGGAAGCATTCTCAGAAACTACTTTGTGATGATTGCATTCGACTCACAGAGTTGAACATTCCTATAGATAGAGCAGGTTGTAAACAATCTTTTTGTAGAATCTGCGATTGGAGATTTGGACTGCTTTGAGGCCTACTGTAGTAAAGGAAATAACTTCATCTAAAAACCAAACGGAAGCATTCACAGACAATTCTTAGTGATCATTGGATTGAACTAACAGAGCTGAACATTCCTTTAGATGGCGCAGTTTCCAAACACACTTTCTGTAGAATCTGCAAGTGGATATTTGGACTTCTCTGAGGATTTCGTTGGAAACGGGATAAACTTCCCAGAACTACACGGAAGCATGCTGAGAAACTTCTTTGTGATGTTTGCATTCAACTCACAGAGTTGAACCTTGCTTTCATAGTTCAGCTTTCAAACACTCTTTTTGTAGAATCTGCAAGTGGATATTTGGACCACTTTGTGGCCTTCCTTCGAAACGGGTATATCTTCACATCAAACCTAGACAGAAGCATTCTCAGAATGTTTCCTGTGATGACTGCATTCAACTCACAGAGGTGAACAATCCTGTTGATGTAGCACTTTTGAAACTCTCTTTCTTTGGATTCTGCAAGTTGATATGGGGACCTCTGTGAAGATTTCGTTGGAAACGGGTTCATCTTCACAGAAAAACTAAACAGAAGCATTCTCAGAAACTACTTTGTGATGTTTGTGTTCCACTTCAAGAATTGAACTTTCCTCTTGACAGAGCAGCTCTGAAACCCTCTTTTTCTAGAATCTGCAAGTGGACATTTGGAGGGCTTTGAGGTCTGTGGTGGAAAAGGAAAATCTTCACATAAAAACTAGATGGAAGCATTCTCAGAAACTACTTTGTGATGATTGCATTCGACTCACAGAGTTGAACATTCCTATAGATAGAGCAGGTTGTAAACAATCTTTTTGTAGAATCTGCGATTGGAGATTTGGACTGCTTTGAGGCCTACTGTAGTAAAGGAAATAACTTCATCTAAAAACCAAACGGAAGCATTCACAGACAATTCTTAGTGATCATTGGATTGAACTAACAGAGCTGAACATTCCTTTAGATGGAGCAGTTTCCAAACAAACTTTCTGTAGAATCTGCAAGTGGATATTTGGACCTCTCTGAGGATTTCGTTGGAAACGGGCTAAACTTCCCAGAACTACACGGAAGCATTGTGAGAAACTTCTTTGTGATGTTTGCATTCAACTCACAGAGTTGAACCTTGCTTTCATAGTTCAGCTTTCAAACACTCTTTTTGTAGAATCTGCAAGTGGATATTTGGACCACTTTGTGGCCTTCCTTTGAAAAGGGTATATCTTCACATCAAACCTAGACAGAAGCATTCTCAGAATGTTTCCTGTGATGACTGCATTCAACTCACAGAGGTGAACAATCCTGTTGATGGAGCACTTTTGAAACTCTCTTTCTTTGGATTCTGCAAGTTGATATGTGGACCTCTGTGAAGATTTCGTTGGAAACGGGTTCATCTTCACAGAAAAACTAAACAGAAGCATTCTCAGAAAGTGCTTTGTGATGTTTGTGTTCCACTTCAGGAATTGAACTTTCCTCTTGACAGAGCAGCTCTGAAACCCTCTTTTTCTAGAATCTGCAAGTGGACATTTAGAGGGCTTTGAGGCCTGTGATGGAAAAGGAAAATCTTCCCATAAAAACTAGATGGAAGCATTCTCAGAAACTACTTTGTGATGATTGCATTCGACTCACAGAGTTGAACATTACTATAGATAGAGCAGGTTGTAAACAATCTTTTTGTAGAATCTGCGATTGGAGATTTGGACTGCTTTGAGGCCTACTGTAGTAAAGGAAATAACTTCATCTAAAAACCAAACGGAAGCATTCACAGACAATTCTTAGTGATCATTGCATTGAACTAACAGAGCTGAACATTCCTTTAGATGGAGCACTTTCCAAACACACTTTCTGTAGAATCTGCAAGTGGATATTTGGACCTCTCTGAGGATTTCGTTGGAAACGGGATAAACTTCCCAGAACTACACGGAAGCATTGTGAGAAACTTCTTTGTGATGTTTGCATTCAACTCACAGAGTTGAACCTTGCTTTCATAGTTCAGCTTTCAAACACTCTTTTTGTAGAATCTGCAAGTGGATATTTGGACCACTTTGTGGCCTTCCTTCGAAACGGGTATATCTTCACATCAAACCTAGACAGA